>NC_000001.11:206366405-206517920 GCF_000001405.40 Homo sapiens | reverse complement strand
ATTCACATCCTCCCATGCTAAGCCCAGGGTGGGGGAGGGGCCCATAAGGAGGTGGTGTTGCTTTAAGAGGGTCAGGCCATTCATTTTTCTGAGACTAGATACCTGAGCAGAAGCGGATGTGACCCTATGGGTGTGGGGTGGTGAGAAAAGATCAGTCTGTCACAAAAGGGCAGAAATATTGTTCTCTTGCCCCAAAACAGTACTCACAGGTGTTCTCTCACTCTGACTCCCAGAAGCTGCCAAGCCCTAGTAGAAAAGTTCTGGGAGGCCCTGTTGCCCAGTCCAAGACAGAAGACTGGCACCAGACAGGCAGCAGAGCCTTCCAGAAAAGCCACTAGAGAGGGGTGTCCCTCCCAGGCTGCCCAGAGATGACAGGACTCACCTGCCAACCACCAGCGGGGACCAGCTTAACATGAAGGAGGGACACTTGTTCTTTTTTCTTTTTTTTTGAGACAGGATCTTGCTCTGTCATCCAGGTTGGAGTGCAATGGTCCAATCATAGCTCACTGCAGCCTCGACCTCCTGGGCTCAAGTGATTCTCCCACCCCCCAGCATGTAGCTGGGACTACAGGTGGGCACCACCACACCCAGCTAATTTTTATATTTTTTGTAGAGGTGGGGGTCTCACCATGTTCCCCAGGCTGGTCTCGAACTCCTGGGCTCAAGAGATCATCCTGCCTCAGTCTCCCAAAGTGCTGGGATTACAGGGGTGAAGCCTCCATGCCCAGCAGGGACACCTATCCCTTAACCAGAGGAAATCCACCTCAGAGGACTCACACACTTGCAGAATCTCTGGTGGAAGATGCACTTATACGTCTGTGCTCAGATGCCACCCTTCCTCAGTTGCGGACTGATTCTTTCTCCCTAATGCTTCCTCAGGGAGAAGGGAGCTGCCCATGGCCTTTGTTGTGGCCCTCTCTAGTTTACCAAGCAACCTCTGTACCAGAAGAAGGGCATAAGCAAGTCCGGGTCCTGAAATGACACTTGGGACCATCAAACAAGGGGTGGGGGCCAAGTTCCTTGCCCTGCTGGTCCTTGCACCCAAGATCTCCAAGAGGGCCTAGGAAGTCCTGCCTGGCTGAGCACAGGCAAGGGCTCATTCCCATCCCCGCCCTCAAAGAAGAGAACACAGGGCTGCTGGGGGAACTTTAAAATATGAGTCACGGCCAGGCGTGGTGGCTGATGCCCGTAATCCCAGCGCTTTGGGAGGCCGAGGCAGGCGGATCACAAGGTCAGGAGATTGAGACCATCCTGGCTAACACGGTGAATCCCCATCTCTACTAAAAATACAAAAAAATTATCCGGGTGTGGTGGCACGCACCTGTAGTCCCAGCTACTCAAGAGGCTGAGGCAGGAGAATCACTTGAACCCAGGAGGCAGAGGTTGCGGTCAGCCGAGATTGCACCACTGCACTCCAGTCTGGGCGACAGAACGAGACTCCATCTCAAAAAAAAAAAAGTCACGTGTAATGCGGGGAAATCCCTTCCGAATGCACCGTTTGGGCTGCAGAATATGCTGACCTCACTTCTCTTTTCTCCTCATCACTGAGCTGTTCTTTGACAGGTTAAGCCATTGGGAAAGACAACAGGAAAGAACTGGCAGAGTCTGGAGATGGGGCTTTCAGAAGCTCTAGGATCTTCATTCCTGACCTTTGGAAAACTAGATAGATTTTTCTACTGTAATGATGGTCTGGGAGGAGCACTACCTAGAGACAGGGAAATGCCTGCAATGACCTCTTGCTGTCTCTGACATCTAAGCAATGACTCAATGACCTCCATGCTGGAGGCAAGTTCAGCCATGGCCCAGCATAATTTGAAGCAACAACCTTCACCATCTTACTTGCTGGGGTACAATATATTATCACCCTATTTTATATAAAGGTACCTCCAGATGGCTTTTAAAAAACACTCATCACTAGGGTAGACATTCATGGACAATATGCTCAACGCTTTCTCTCAAAACTCTCATGTTACAGCTGGAATCTGTTCCAGTTGAATAATAAGGCATCTCTGAGGTTTTGTTTGAGGTGGGGGAGGTTAATACTTTCTTCAGATGCAAAAAATAATCCACATAATTCTTTCAGCAGAGACCACCAAGTCTCCAACTTCCATTCAACTTGGATAGAAAAAACAGCCTCCTGCAAATCAGCAAGAAAAGTAAGCAATGGTACCTGTTCCCAAATAAGAGATGAACCTGGAGAAATATAGAGAGTCAGAGCTGGCTTGGGGGTGGGAGGTTTCCCCAGATGTATTTTTTCTCATGGGGCCACATCACTGCCTGAGATTAGAGCCAGAGGTCCATTAGGCAGCTTCAGATTATTGTCCAGTCCCTATCCATGTCTTCTTCACCCTAGCTGTCCCCTCTAGGATCCAGTCTGTTAATTTCACTTTGGTTCCTGACTAGTGCTGTGTCATGAACTCTGAGAGCTGGGCCATGGCAAGAAGGAGGACTGGAACAGAAAAAGATCCTCCACCTGCATTTCCAGGCCCACCCCCTACACACCCTGAACACCTACGGGGTGAGGTGGGAGCGGGGAGAGACACACTTATTTCTTTCATCTTAGGATTTGGAAAAACTTCACCCTTTTTCTAAAGATCTCATGATTTGCACATGGTGACAATCAATTTAGAAACTGATTGTTGAAAATTGGCTTAAGTGGAGCCAACTCTCAATTACCCAGCCCTGGCTGATTCTCTAGCTTGTATAGGGCTCACCTCCCTTTTTTTCCTGTACCTCCTTTTTTGGACATTTCAGCATTCACCAGCAGAAGGGCAGCAGATGGATAAGTAAACTCAACTAACTTGCGTGATCAATGATATTAGCCTAAGGCAAAATGCCATGCTGGGTTCTGGTGCTGGCTTTGCTATTAATGATCTGGGTTATCTTAGCGAAGTCATTTGACTTCCCTGAATGCTGTGTTTCCTCATCTATGAGATGGCCCTGATTACATCAGTTCTACCGACGAAACAGAATTGCAATCCTGACAGAGGCAGTGCACATCAAACGGCCTTAGTGATAGCCAAGTGCAACAAAAGTTATTTCTGCTCCCACAGTTTCTTTGCCATTCTCAACTCTTCCTATTCCATGTGAATATACTCATCCTAGCAGGTTCACAGAATGCCAGCTTGTATCTTCAGCAAACACAATGATAATTCTTTTCCAGCTCTAGCATCCAGTAGAAACAAAACATAAAAGGATTTTAAAAAAATAAGAACATCACTCTTCTTTTTGGCCTGACTTTCATGAACCTGGAGTCTGATTTCTTAAAGGTCTATGTAAGCCAAGTTTTAATTTTCTAGCAGCCCCAGCCAATGGCCATTGCAGATGTCTAAATAAGACCTGCCCCACCCTGGAAATATGTTTGTTCAAAAAACAGGAATGGGGAGCAGAAGGTGGCACATAGGCCCTCCACTGAAGAATAAACCTGTCACAGGTAAGTGTCATACTCAGCCATCCACTCACCTGCTCAGTGCCACACAAAAATGAACAGACTACTCTTTCCAACACCACCCCTCTTATAGACCCTCAGCATGCACATCTTGCATTCCCCCCGATCCCTCTGCCCCATGCCCTCAAATGGGGCCAGGGCAGTAGTTATAGGTAGGAAAATCCGAAAGAAAATCTAGAACCTGCTACAATTCCCAGGGGTCACCAGACTCCTCAGCCAAAGTGGGGCATTCTCCCCTGGGAGGCTGGACACATGCTATGATGCCAGGAGGGACCCCACTGCCCTTCCTCCTTCCTCTCCAAAAAGGGTAAAAAAAGAGAATCAAACCTCAAAGATTTCCCAATGGGTACATCTCTCACAAACCTTTGTGTACTCTAGGAACCACAGGCATGCTAGAACAGGCCCGGCATGGCCTTGTGGGCCACTTCAGCCAAAGACCACACCATGGAGAGTTCTTGGGGTCTACCAGGCTCTGCCCAAGTCTCCTCAGCATAGTTATGAGTGCTTCAGAAAAAACTCAAAAGTCACTTCCCCAGGTGTGAGTCAAGATAGTCTTGACCTTGGGGTGGGGCAACCCATGACTGCTCCCAAGCCCCGACTTTATTCCACTTAAACCAGTGCCCCCAGGGAACCCAGCCTTCTGCCTGGTCTAACGTCATCACCTCAGCCTCCTCGCTGTTTCCCCTAAGCCCCAAAACTGGCTCTGTTCCCCTTCCGACCCTGAGATCCAGCCCGGAACATGTGGAGAAAGGCTTGCCAAAAGTCTTGGAAAAAAACTGAAAATGACTAAATGCAAAACCATCTCCCCAGTCAGGCCCGGCCTTCCCAGCTGCCGCCAGCCCTTCCCCACCCAGCCATGGAGAGTCAGAACAGAGCCCTGCGGGAGGGGCAGGTGCCCAGAGTCAGCAGAGACAGAGCGAGACCCTGCAGGGAGGCAGAAAGCATCCTGCCACCAGCACAGACCCAGGTCTGCAAGCTTGTGAGAAGGAAATCATACCAGCTGGTGCTGACTGAGCCCCAGGAACATGGTTCCCTCAGAAGGGCTGGGGGTGGGGAGCTTGCATGCTTTGCACACCCACAAATACTCACCCACCCAAGAATACTCACCTTGCCATCTGAGGAATGCGAACAGGAAGGGCCTCTGGTGAGGCCAGAGATGTGTTTACAGGTTCCTCAGCAGCCTTCATAGTAAGCCTGGGCAGAGCAAGAATGCCAGCAGCTGCCCTCCATGGGGAAACTGAGGAATGAGGGGTGGGTGTGGGAGCCAGAGAGAACCCTGTGGGAGAACACTGGGGTGCAGGAGCTGGGACCCACCCATGGCCATCCCACCTCAGGTAGCAGCCTCTCACACAGAGGTGCTGACTCTGAAGCCCAAAGCGGGGGAAATGGCTTGAGGGCCTGAGACAGCACCAAAGCCTTGAAGACCTGTCAGAATGAGGCCCGCCCGAGAGGTTCTAACTTTACCACTGTCCCTGGCAAAGCCAGCAGGTGACTCCTGGCCAGGTAATTCCCTTTCAGCTGAGCTAAGCATCCCTGTATCCCTGTATTCTGACCTCATGAAACTATTTTGAGCATGAATGTAGCAGCGGGCATGAAAACACTTTGGGCTCTTCAGAGAAAAGGCACTACTGACATGCAAAGAATTCTTCTTATGCCCATTCTCAGACCTGGGTTCGGCCTTGCGGCAGCTTCCCCTGAGCCTCTGGCCCCTGACCTGCTCACACTTCACAGGAGGTAGCTCCCTGACAGGATAAATTCACTCTCCCACCGAGGCAGGGCCCTTGGGACTGGGCTGGGGGCTGTCTTTTCTTTGTCACTCAGGGACTACCTGCCAGGCTTGGCACAGGCTGGCTCGCCGGTAGAATTGGGGAGAAGAGAGAGGATATCAGACCAAACCCTCAGTGCTGCGGGGAGATGTCAATTCACTTCCACCTAATAACTCCGCAGGATCAGCAGGCAAACACACACGTTCATTACCAAGTCTAATTAGGCTGGCAGACAAGTGGCATTAATCATTTTTGACTGTACCTGGGATTCAAGCCCCCCACACTCCATAATCAGAAAATTTCATGCTCTGATGAATAGTGGGGAAAATTAAGCGCACATTTAATCCTTTCACTTTCATCTTTTGATAAGACAGGAAGCAGGGAGGAGAGGAAAAACGGGCTGCAGCGTGGGAAGCTCAGAAGGCCTCTTTGAAAGCATTCCAGGTCCTTTCCCTGGCCCCTAACGCACACATCCTCCAACAGGACCTTGCCCAAGAAGAAGATCCCAGTTAGAGCCAGGGGTAGGAGAGGGCTTGGGAGTGGGGGATTCTCACAATCTTTAACAACAAAATTTCCATTTCTGTGCTTCATTTTCTTAAACTCTAAAGCCAAACACGGGGCTAAATCAAGGAAAACACACGCTACACACTCAGTGCTGCTGGGTGCGCAAATACCTTCCAAGTGCCCAAGGTAAATAAATACAGAAGCCGCCAGAACAACACAGGATGATTTCTGAGAGGCCTGAAATGAAGACCTTTCTCTGCTACAGAAAGAATCAATGCCAATGTCCCAGGAGCCTTTTTCACAAAGAACCCACAAGCGGGGGATGGGTCTGCAGGATCGGGGGCTGTCACGCAGGCGGTTCCAGCTGTGCAGAAAGTGCAGAAAGTGGAGCTGAACCCAGCCAATAGCGTAGCAACAAGACTAGAGAGACCAGACTAGAGGCCCAGGGAGATATCAGCCATTCTTAATAAGAATAGTCCCGGTGCCCTTCCCCGAGGGCTGCATGGCAGGGCCTTGTAGTCACATCATTAAAATCTATCACAGAGTGGGGAGGTTAGTTGGCCTCCCTTTCAACCATGTAATTCCAATCACTTAACACTTCACAGCTCTGAATAACGCCCCCTCTGGAGAGAGACTCCGACTCCAGGAGCAGACAGGTGGCATTCACTGACAATGGCCAAGGTGTGTCTAAGCATCTCCAGGAGGGTTTGAGTCAGGCTTAGGTTTCTCCAAGTGCCAGACCATCCCCTGGTCCAGGATGGCTTACGCAGCCACCAAAATGAGATGAAAGGTAAAAGGCCACCTCCATGCGCCTTCTACAGAAGGAACACTAAGGGACGTCATCTGTAAGGGGAAGTCCCTGAGAATAAAGCCAAAGGGCAGCCAGTGAGTTTCTCTGGTTATTTGCTGTTGACCATTCCCTCCTAGAATGCTAGAAATGCATTCTCGCCATCACCATCACCCCTACCCCAAAACACACACATGGGCTCACAGGACCTTTCGTTCTCTCTCTGCCTTTCCACAGATCCCCACTGGATTTCCTTCTCTATCTCACAACTAGGAGTTCTTTAATCCTAGAAATTAATATTAACTCTGAACTTCCCTGTTCACAAATCCAGCATTAACCAGAGGTTGGTTACAGACCTTGAAGTGGGGTAAGCTTAGGTTAGATGAACTTTTGCTAAAAAGGCAGACAGTGGGAAGAGTGTTTTCCAAAATGCTTTCCTTACTAAAGTGCCCTTCTGCCAACATGGTTCCCACCCAGTGTCAGTCTCCTGGGCAGACAGATGTCACTCACATACCCACTGCCCTCCTGCTTGTTTCCAAGGGCTGGGATATTTAATAGCACAAACAAGCCATCACTTTCATCACTCACCACATAGTGAGACCCTGCTCTGGGCCTGGCACTCTGCTGGGTGCAAGAAACACAAAGACAAGGAGCCAATGGCTTCGTGGCCCCTATGCCAGGCAAAGAAGGGTCTCCTCAGCCACAGCAGGACATCAGGTAGGAGTGGCATTTCTAGAGGACACCTAATACCCAAATTTTCTGGGATGTCTATGGCAGTCACTTCCCCACTTAGCTCAGCAACCAGGCAGAGTTCGCAAATTGTACTCACTGCTTCGAAAGGTAATCCTAGGAGGTGTCACAAGCCCAGACTAGTTGTTACAGCTGTTAGATGGGAGGGGACAATAACAATCATATCGAATTAAACATTCGTATTGCATTTTGCTAGGCCCTGTTCTGAGTGCCTTATGTATATTAATCCATTTAATTCTCAGATTAACATGATGAAGTAGGTAATATCATTATCCTATTTTTTTTAAACAAAGAAGCAGAACACAGAGATGTCCAGGACTCACGTGGGGACTAAGTGGTAGTCAGGATTCAAACCCAGGGCTCTGGTTCCAGTCTGTACTCTTAACTACTGCATAGTATGATTTTTTTTAAAGTCCTATTTCTGACACTTGCTTTTCAAAATGAAGATAAAACAAAGCAACCTCACCATGGAATCAGACCTTCAACTTAAAGAAAGATGCTCAGCGAGTTTGGCCTGCTGTGTCTCCACCTGCCAGCCCTCATCTGCACATCAGAACATTTCTCAACTTTTGCCATCCAGCCATAGGTTCACAATTAGTTAAATATTAATCATGACAAACAGAGACTCCTTTCTGTAGCCCCTCGATTCCAGTTTTGCTTTCTCTCCAGTGTTCAGACATCGTTAGCATTAAACCAACTCTGTGGGGGACCATGAGCGCCCAGGAAAGTAAAAAGACCTCACCAAGTCACACACAAAGTCAGAGGTACTGCCCGGGGGCCTAGATCTTCCTGCCACTAGAAACGACGTATGACTTAATCAAAGGAGATCGACAATTCTGATGTGACGTAAGGATCAATTCATTTAGTCATGGAGTATCACACACAGGCACACGCAAATACACACAAACGCACCATTATCACCAAACCAAAAAAAAAAAAGAAAATCACAAAACTATGTGCAAAATCTTCAACAAGTGATACAGTCCCCCAAAGTCTAACTACAAACTAGAATGCCAACGAAGCAGATTTCCTGGGATTCCAGCTATGATAAAACCCATTTCAGTGAGGCTCCTGCCTCTCTCCCTGTGTGTAGGGTTGTTGGATGCAGTAAGGGAATCTTGAAAGTGCAAAAGCTGCCAACACATCCAAGGATAAGTTGCATTTGATTCTACTGTAGTCAAAGGCATTTACCAAGGGACAGCAGCCCCTCTACCCACAACATGTACCTCTACAAACCTTTACTCCTTCCTTCTTAATTAGCACCTGAACTGGGGGTTCTGGTGGAGGAAAGAGCAGCACCCACTTGCCCTTCCAATCTTTCCCTTCCACTTGACCCAGGCTTAGTGTCTGAGTTCTATTTCCCTGCAGCCAGCTGCAGCGGGCAGCACATTGAACAGCCTCCGCTGCAGACTGCAGGCAGAAAAAGGGTAGGGTTTTCCTGATGTGGAAATCACTGCTGCTGTCCAACGCTGCAGTTGGATGGGAGACGTGAGGCTGCTGCCATAGGGGAAGGGCCTTTGCTGAAAGATGCAAACCACAATCCATTTCCAGAGATGCTTGTTAGAGGCTGTGCCATTGTCTGTGCTTTGGGCTTCAGATATTTGAAATATCCATGTAAACACATGAACACATGGCTGTGGATATCCTCTGATAAACACGCAAGAGCAAATGCCGGGGTGGGGGTGGAGGGTGGACACCTATTAAAGGCATACACACCCCTAACTGTAGGAGGAGAAAAATAATAAACCCCCAAGGAGACTGAAGATTGGCTCAGAAAATCTATACACTGGGGGCCCAGTGTTTTCTGGCTTTGAGAAGCGCCTGGCTCAGGAGGTGACTGGAGGGGCCTGAGGGCTGTGGAGAGGAAGGGACCCTGTCAGGAGCTGAGTAATGTTAGAGCATGACGACTAGGGCAGGAACCCAGGAGGAGGAAGGGGAGGAGGCAGGGCACAGCCAAACATTGGAGCAGAGTCCAAAGGTTTGAGGGGCCAGAGGTGAAAGGCAGGAGGGGGCACGGGTTCAGGGTGACTTCAGGCTCTCTTCAGCCTCACAGCCTGCCTTTATCCAAAATCTAACAAGGTCTCCTCCCTGTCCCAATACGTCCCCCTGGAGGAGAGGTCTGAGCCTGTACCATGGGCGGACAAACAAGCGTTTTGTCAGTAACCCTAATAAGCAAGGGTCAAACGGTCATCTCAACAGCAGTCTCACAACCCACTCCCAAGAACTCACAACAAAACCATGAGGGTGCACAGGGAGATGACAGAGGCCGCCGAGGCCATCACCCACCCACCCCCCACAACCTGTGTGCGAGTGTGTGTGTGTGTGTGTGTGTGTGTGTGTGTGGAGGGCCAAGGCACGCACCTGTCAGGAGACAGGTATCTGTTAACTACCGCATAACCATACCTAGGTAGTGGGCAGGCACTAAAGGATACCGGGCAGGGAACTAAGGAGCGGACTGTCCCCAGGGGTTGTTATCTCCTTATGTTCGGGGCTCCCCTGGAGCCAAAGAGTGTAATGGCCCCTCTCTCCCTGCCCCAGGGCCCTCCCAGTCCTTCGCCCCCAGACTGCGGTCTCCCCGCACGCCCCTCCCCTGCCTTCACACTTACTAGTGCAGCGCAGCGCCTGCCGCAGCACCTCTCGTCCGCACAGGTCACACCAGCCGGGGCCGCCCGGCAGCACCAACTCGGCGAAGCAGTGCCCCTCGCCTCGCTCCGCCGGGACTCTGGGATCCTGCGGCTGCTCGAAGATGCTCCGCACGTCGCGGGGTCGGGGCGCTCCAGGCCGCCGCCGCAGTCTCTGCTGCAGACCAGGCCGGAGCGGGCGAGCGGGTCGGGAGGCCCGGGGCGGGGGCTCCAGGTTCCCCCGGGCAGCCCTCCGGGCGCTGCGCCCCTCGCGCGCCCCGGGCGCAGTGGAGAGGGGCGCCGGGACACAGAGGCGCGAGGACCGGTCGGGGGGCGGCGGCGGTAGCTCGGGGCCGCTCAGGCTCTGTAGATAGCGCGGCGGCTCGGGGTCCAATAGTAGCGGGTACGGGCGCTGCCCGATGGCCGGGGACGCCATGGCCATGCCCGGCTAGTGGCGGCAGCTTTGGCAGCGGCGGCTTTGGCGACTGCGCTACTCCCGAGCCAGCCCCGAGAGAAGGGGCCGCCCCACACCAGCGCGCCTTTAAAGGAACCGCAGCCTGCTGGGCGGGGCGGGGGCGGGGAGAGTCGGAGTGGCAGGAAGGACGACCCAAGAGAACCGCCGACGGACCGAAGGGGGTAGGGTCCGTGCCAGGCGACGTCTGCGCGAGTGTGGATTTGGGGGCGTCTTCACCTGGAGCAGCTGCAGGATTCCGCAGAGGAGCGCCTCTGTACAGTACAGCTCAGAGGGCGCATTTCTGCGGGGGGCCCTAGGCCTTCAGCCCTGCCTCTTTCCCTTGCCAATCACTTTCCCCAACACCAGGTTCACCCCCGACCCGCACCCTCACGCGCCCCGGGAGGGAGCAGGTCGGAGGGAAAAGCTTGGGAACTGGCTCGATGGGGTCTGAGTAGGGCCCCTCCGTCTAGGCGTCCGCTCGCCACTCTCCCGCTGATGGTGCCGACAGGAGGGCCGTGCTCCTTGGCCCTTCCTCTCTCCGGCTTGTCGCCGCCCGCCGCCCCCTCTAGAGCGGAGCTCGACGCGGGTCCGGAATGCCCCGCGCGCGCTCCCGCAGCCGCGCTTTGTCCCGTGGGTGACCGCCGGATGCCTCCAAGGGCTGGCAGAGCTGTCCGCGTGCGACTTTCGCTCTGGTTGGATTTCCCCTTCCTTCGCAGCCCTGCCGGGTAGGGTATTCCTCTTTCCTGGAAGACTGGTGGGGGGTGGAGGGGAGTTGGGGGGGCTCCATTGAGAGAACGCTCCCTCGCCCCAAGGGTTGGGGGAGCTTTTCTTCCTTAGCCAACCCTCCGTTCCCCAGAGCTGCTCTAGTAATTACTGTGGAGATACCAGTTCCCCTAAATGCCCTAAGTGGAACCTGGTATGGATGGTTCACTCATGGGACCCAAAGAGAGATCTCCTTTCTCCCGGCACTTTCCCCCGTGAAGGCTTGCTTCAAGCCTTCATGGACCCTTGTCTGGTTTAACGCTCTGCGGTCACCATCTTGAAAGTCTTACTTTTTGAACAAAGGGCCAGGCGTTTTCTTTTTGCACTGGTTCCCACAAATTATGTAGTTGTTCCTGACAGGCACCTTTGCCCATGGAAACAGGCCCATCTTATGGATAAGGAGGACTCCTGGATCTCTGAACCTGGGCCTGGGCCCTGGCCCTCTCTAGCCCCAGTATTGTTAACTGTACATTGGGCTGGAGGTGGGGAGACAGGTGGTTGTTAACGTGGCACTCTCCAGCTCCGTCATTATGACTCAGTGATCACAGCTTTCCTCTTAAAACACAGGTTCGGTTTGGTCCGTCTAGCGGTGGTCATTTTTTAGAAGAATAGTCTAAATTCTTCTGGACCTGGTCTCTCCCTTCTCTTCCCAGGCCAGAGATGGGTCTCCCCCTAGTGCTTCGTAGGGGAATCTTCACTTTTGCTTTTTGTTTTTCCCTTGGAGGTAATTTTTAGGTAATTCCTAAGATTTCCAGAGTCCAGTGGCCAGGGAATTCCCAGCCAGCTTTGCTCCATGGCTTCTCCCTCACGGTAATCATAGTCCTCTGCCTCCCAAATCTGTAGCAGAAGAGAGGTTCCTGGGGCTCTGGGGGCTCACCAGAGGCGGGAGCTCACCCTATGAGGTGGTTTCTGAGGAATGACCCATGGGACAGTCAACCCCACAGTGCTACCAAACAGAGGAGCTCCGATGAGGGGTGTAAGCCACAGGCCACCGCCTCTGCCCCACCCCTCCTCTACCTTTCCTCTTCCCTCTCCTAACCTTGCTTTTGCTACATCAGTGGTTTTCAAACCTTGGTATGCATCACAGTCATCTGGAGGGCTTGTTAAGATTATTGGGCTTCATCCCCAAAGTTTCAGAATCTATAGGTCTGGGGCTGGGGTTTGAGATGGCTCATTTTGAGCAAGTTCCCAGGTGTTGATGCTATTGATCCAGGGACCCAACTTGGAAAACCATTGCTCTAGGTCTGAGGTGGTGATTCTGAGAATGGGCTTCTCTGTTCCTTCTCCCCAGGACAAGTGTACTTCAGTGGACCTGACAGATAAAAGCCCAATGAGGGCTATTCCTGAATACTTTCTGCTGAAGGTGTAAAAGGGAAAATACAATTTGCCCTTGTGGTCTCTTATTTTAATCTCCCACTTTTTCTGCAAGCAGTTCTCTTGGGGTTGTTGCAGAAATCTGTATTCCATATAAATATTTGCTGTGTCCACACTCTGTTACCCATCTCCACACACTTGAGACTCATCCCCTTCCTGGAGTGCAGTGGGTGGGTGAGGTCCTGGGCATGGAAACAGCTTGAGCTCTGAGTGACAGCCTGGTGGGGCAAGAAGCAGCAGGGATCTGACAACAAGTGCATCCCTGGAAGATCGGCTTTGAAAAGCCATTTGTGAAATAATTGCTAACAGTCTCCATCTCTGTCCTTCCCTGCAGCCTCAAAGCATGGTTTGGGCAGCCCAGCCCAGATTTCCTGGATAGAGAGACTCATGAGGAGGAGCGTCATCTCTGGCCACGGGAAACTGAGGGCTATCTGAAACCATCAGGCATAAAACTCTTCCCCAGTTGTCTGGGCTGTACAGAAAAATGCTCTAGTTTTTGTTTTCCTCCTGCAGCTCTGATTTGGTGGAGTGGCAGTGGCTGCTCTTAGCATGAATGTGGGAGGAGATTGTGCAGGGCCAGAGCCCTATATTTGGCTTCTGGGGTGGGAAAAGAGATGAAAATGGAGATATTAATCATATAACTCCATGTAACCAATCAAAAAATTTATCATAAAGTTTATCTTAAAGTTCATCTCCTTGAGCCAAGAAATTAGAGTTGGGGCGGGCAGTTGCCCTTCTTAACCTCAATGTGAGGCTCCCTGGCTGGGGCATGTCTCCTCTGATGCCAGTTTTCCCAGCCCAGTCCCCTTCTTCCTTGAAATAGCATTTCCCCACCAACCCACGACACACACATAGACTTCTTTCTTGCTCCCATGCACACACACACACACACACACACACACACACACCCCACATGAACAGCAGAGTATTCCTTCTTCCCCAGGGAAGAAGTGCTAAAGAAACTCTAGTCTCATTATAAGCTCAGGACATTGCTGGGGTAGTGTCAGATGCCTGGACTTTAACATTTTTTTTGATCTGTCTGGTCATCCAGGCTACAAGGGTAAGACCGCAGCATCCGCTGAAACACCTCCACTGGGAGATCTTTCCCCTTGTTAGTAGATCCTCTTGGCTCAGACCCATTGACTTTTTTCTGTTTGTGACTCACTCCCAGCAGAGTGGGTGTGCTGCTTTTATTTTTGACCAAGGGGAAGGATTATGACAGTGAGTTTAGAGTGTGTGGTCAGGGTGTGAGATCACTTCAGAGGTGGTCCCAGAGCGTGCTGGTTTTCCCATTGGGTGAGTTGTTTAACTGCTGCCGCCCAGCCTCCCTCCCCAAGTTCCCTAGTAAGAAGGAAAACGGAAGGACAGAACATGGCCTGACTTCCTGAAGGGGACATTTTTGGTTTTGTTTGACTTTGAGGCGTCTGAAGTCGCCTGAAATCCCCGAAGCTTTCAGGGAACTCCCAGGGATTCTGACAGTTGCACAACTGTCTACATGGAATCACTGTAAGAGTCAGGACAAGTTAGGTTATGCTGTAGTAATAAGCTCCACAGCTGAGTGCCCTGAAATAACAGACTCCTTTCTCGCTCACATTACATGCCTTTTGCAGGTTGGCAGGTGCTCTCTTCTCATCAGACTCACCATGTCTAATATTGCCAGTCACTGTGCCAAAGGGAGATTGAGAGAGCCTGGAGGATCCCACATCAGCATTTAAAAGCTCCAGTCACTTTTGCTCACAGCTTATTGGCCAGAACTAGTCATATGACCCCACTCTACAAACAGGAGCAGATGTAAAATTCTACCTTGTGCTCAGAAGGGGAAAGGGCTGGAAATATTTGGCAATCAGCGCTAATGGCCAGTGCAATCTTCAAGGGCATAGAGCAGTTATTCATTCATTTAATGAGTAATTCTCTGATATCCACTATGTATCAAGCACTGTTCTAGGCACTAAAGGTACAACAGTGAAATGGATATGTTCATGAAGCTTGCATTTAGTGAAAGAGCCAGACAATAAACAGACACAAGAGTAATATGATATCAGGTTGTAAGCACTTTGATGAAAAATCAAGCACATTAAGGGGATGAAGGTGATAGAGGCTACTCTATTAGATTGAGTAGTCAGGAAAGACCTTTCTGAGGAGCAGACATTTAAGCAGATCTGAATGAAGCAAGCCCTTTGTCAATCTGGACAAGAGTGTCCCAGACTAAGAGAACAACAGGCACAACAGCCCCAAAAACTTTTCAAGCTTTATGAACCTGAGTTTGTTCAAAATGCCTATTCTGGGACCTGACCCTCTGATTCAGTATGTCTGGATTTTGGCCGGGATTTTGCAAGAGACTTTGATTCAGATGGCTCACAGACTACACTTTAAAAATGGGGTTACAGCAGTAAATAGTTAAAATGGTGTGACCCCCTCCACAGACATTTGGAAAAAAATGCCCTTATCTTGGTTAGCTATGAAACACAGGTCTCCAGTGCTGCTTCCTTTCCTTCTTGGGCAGCATGTTGCATGCAGAGCTCAGCTTTCCAAAGAAGTGAGTGCTGCTTGCAATGTGTGATGGGGGTCAGTAATATTTTACATTACTAGACTGAGAGCAGGGACCATGACAAAATGTTGTTGGAGGATCAAAATGTGTTTGTGAGAGAAATCCCTTGTAAAGTGCCATAAGTTACATGTATCTGCTCAAGAAACATACATTGAGCATCTATTATGCGGCAGGCACTTTTGGCTTGAATGATTTCATCTTCATGGCAACTCTGTGAAATGGCTGGCATTCCTGTTTTACAGGTGAGAAAATCAAGGCTCAGAGAAGTCATGTGACTGGCCCAAACAGGTATCACAGTCTGGACTCATATCCACTCAGATCCATGAATTTGCCTTTGTCCTGCCCAGCTGGTGTGGTAGAAAGGGCAGGGCTCAGAATCTCTGATCTCACTTTGTAGGTGCAGCTTGAAGGATCAGCAAAATCTTTCCCCAGTTTCCTCTCCCTGTGGAAACCCTGCTCCACTCCCAAGGTCTAGTCCAAACGCCAGGTCCTCCAGAGCCTTCACAGTCACCCAGACCTCACTCATGGCTCCTTCCCTGGGATCTCACAAGAAGCCCATTGTGCCTTTGAAGTTCAGATTATCCTAACATGAGTTGCAGCTCAGTTTGTACATGTTTGCCTCCCTTGCTTGGGTCTTAGTGGTCTTTCTGATCCCACTGTGCAGGGCTAACTGGAGATGCCCATTAACCTGTACCTATTCCAGGATTTTTTTTCTTAACGTCTCTTCAAGCCACGCCTCCTGCACCCAGAGATGGAGAGATGGAGGAATCGTTTGGTTTGGGGAGCATGGAGGGTCCCCGAGGACCTGCTGGGGCTGGGTAGAAGTTGGAGTAGTATTGGGAGCTCCATTTAAGACTCATGTACCTCCTCCAAGATTCTGGTCACTGGGTGAATTTCCTGCCTCCAGATGTTTGTAGCTGGCCAGGGTTGAGGGCTGGTGGGGCACCATCTCGACTCTTGGTGGAATGGGCTTTCTGTATGTCACCAAACTCCAGTGCTCCCAAGGGGATCTCCTAGGTCCTTGACAGTACTTGGGGACAAGAAGGGCAGATCAAGGGGGGACAAAAGCAGGGAGGGATCTGAGGGCTCCTGGAAAGGTGTCATCACGTAGAGTGGGGGCAGGTGGGGCTTGTTTTCCACCAGTTTTAGTGGCACCTCCTCCATCCATCTCAATTATGAAATTTTTCCATCCTGAGCTGCTCTGCCAGGCTTATGATAAGACTGGCGTGTGTGTGTGTGTGTGTGTGTGTGTGTGTGTGTGTGTGTGTTTTCTTTCCGCGTTGGAAAAACTCAGATATTCCAAGCAGATTTGTCAGCAATTTTTTTCCCTCAGCCAGAGGGGAGGCTCCAAGCCACAGCCACTTGCATTCCAGCACTAAGCCAGCCCTGGGCCCACTGCAGTGGCAGGAAGCCATGGACTGGGTTACAACAGACCAGCGAGAGCAGGGTGGCCTGGGTGACCTCACAGGCTCTCCCTGCCCCACCCCAGCCCCCACCTGTCTCCTCCTCTGTGCTCTGTGTCTCCCTGTCTTGCCTCTCCTTTCTGCTTCCTCTCCCTGTGCCCTGCTCATCCACTATCTCCCTCTCCATCCCTCTTCATCTCCCCCTCCCTCTCTCCTTTCTCACTCCCACCTCTTATCTCACCCCTCCTCCTCTGTCTCCGCTGAAGAATGAAGGGAAGGGAGCCACACTGCTCCAGCCGCAGTCATTCTGAGCTTCCAAGGAACAGAAACTGAAGCTACTTCAGGTCAGCCTGGCTATTCCTTAACACTTCCCATTGGGGTTGCCTGATTAAGGATCCTTTGTGAGATCGGGGAAAAGAAGCCAGAATTCCACCCTTGAAAAAATCATCCAAGCATGGCTGGGCGCGGTGACTCACGCCTATAATCCCAGCGCTTTGGGAGGCCGAGGCAGAGAGATCACCTGAGGTCAGAAGTTTGAGACCAGCCTGGCCAAACATGGTGAAAACCCCATCTCTACTAAAAATACAAAAATTAGCCAGGCATAGTAGTGGGCACCTGTAGACCCAGCTACTCGGGAGGCTGAGGCAGGAGAATGGCTTGAACCTGGGAGGTGGTTGCAGTCAGCCGAGATCACGCCACGGAACTCCAGCCTGGGGGACAGAGTGACACTCTGTCTCAAATAAATAAATAATAAATAAATAAATAAATAAATAAATAAATAAATAAAAATATAGGCCGGGCACGGTGGCTTATGCCTGTAATCCCAGCACTTTCGGAGGCTGAGGTGGGCGGATCAGGAGATCGGGAGATCGAGACCATGCTGGCCAACGTGGTGAAACCCTGTCTCTACTAAAAATACAAAAATTAGCTGGGCGTGGTGGTGCATGCCTGTAGTACCAGCTACTTGGGAGGCTGAGGCAGGAGAATGACTTGAACCAGGGAGTCAGAGGTTGCAGTGAGCCAAGATCGCACCACTGCACTCCAGCTGGGCAACAGAGCGAGACTCTGTCTTAAAAAAAAATAAATATATAAACATAAATAAAAATCTTTGAAGCAGTTTGGAAGTGAACCCAAAATGACCAGTTGCAGCAATCCTGTGAGGATACTGAAGCAAGGTGGCTCCATGAAAGCAAACGGTGGTTCCAGTAGGAGGGTGGCCTGGCCATGGTTGAGATCCATCCTGTCCTTAGACTGGCTGCCCTGGCCTCAGCTCTCAGGGTGGGTGTGGAGTGGGGTGCCTGGTCCAGTGTACCACGCACTGCCAATTGGCCTCTGTTGGGCCATTCACATGCCCTCTGCAGGATCTTTGTAAACTCTGCCTCAGTGTTCTCAAACCTGAGCTGGTGTGAGAATCACCAGGGAAGCTCATCAATAATACAGATTCCTGAGCCACACCCTTACGGATTGGATTCAGGAGCTGAGTGGGATCCCAGAATATGTGTTTTGAAACCAGGACACCAGTCTCAAGAGAGGAAACTGTGTGGATTCTGGGAGAGAAAGAGAGATATAGCCCTGTAGCGCCCTGCCCTCCAGAACTGACTGTACTTCTTGCCTGGGTTCCTGGGACAGGCCCCCTCATCCTTCCAGTTAGGCCCCCTTTTAGCTTGGATCAGCCTGTTTTAAGAGGCTGCTAGCCATGAATCTGAATGCCACATGGAATCTTCCCAGATATCTGTGACTGATCTGAGCCCCCGACTCAGCCCATACGAGACAAGAACTTGTTTCCTCTACCTACCCTGTGCAGGGGCTCATAGCTGAATGAGGTGGGGAGGGGATGGGGAAGGTGAGCGGAGTATGCAGAGAACTATTGTGTTAATAATACTGTGTTTGGGGCCAGTGCGGTGGCTCATGCCTGTAATCCCAGCCCTTTGGGAGGCCGAGGTGGGTGGATCACCTGAGCTCAGGAGTTCAAGACCAGCCTGACCAACATGGAGAAACCCCGCCTCTACTAAAAATACAAAATCAGCCGGGCGTGGTGGCACACGCCTGTAATCCCAGATACTCAGGAGGCTGAGGCAGGAGAATCGCTTGAATCCGGGAGGCAGAGGTTGCGGTGAGCCGAGATAGTGCCATTGCACTCCAGCCTGGGCAACAAGAGCAAAACTGCGTCTCACATAATAACAATAATAATAATAATATTGAGTTTTAGGCACTTTATGCACATAGCTAATCTATTCCTACCCACAACTTTCCACTCACCACACGGGCACCGAGGAGTAGTATCTTTAAAATACCAGTTGGACTTGACCTAAAACCTCTCTGTGGTCCTCTGGGGTAAAGTCCAAGTTCCTCAGTGTGGCCTGCAAGGACCTTTTGGACTGGCTCCTCCCTTTCCACAATACCAGCATCCTACTTTAACCTACTCTCCAGTCATATAGAAATACTAGTAGCTCTTCCCATGCCTGTGCCACTGCTGCTCCCACGGCCAGGAATGCCTCCCACACCTTCTTTGCTAGGTATCACCTGCTCACCTGCTAAGACCACTTTGGATTCACCTGTTCTCAGTCACTCCCTGACACTTAGGAAGTTTCCCAGCCTGACCTAAGCACCCTCCCCTGTGAGGATGGTGACTCAGGACCACACTGGATGTTTGCATTCCTAGCATAGCACCTCCTCCATGATGGGAAGCTATCTGTGGCATACCTGTCTTCCCCCATAGAGGTGAGCTCCCCATGAGCCAGAAAGGTGGCTTAGTCACCTCTGTAGTTCCAGCATCCCGTGGGCCTGGTACACTGTAAGGGCTCAGATCATGTCTGGTGAACTGAATGGGCTCTTTTCATTTTAAGTGTTATGTTAGGAATCACTGCAGAGAATGGAGAGGTACATTAAAGAGGTCTTCAGACACCTGAGGATCTTATGGGTTGTTCTGGGTCTTGGTCCAGTTCCTCATTTCCTACTGAGATGGAATCAGCAGCTCTGCAGAACCTCAGATCCAGGGAGGCACTGATGTCAGCAGCTCTGCCTTGCATAGAAATGAACTGAAGCCACTGGGCGTGGTGGCTCACGCCTGTAATCCTAACACTTTGGGAGGCCAAGAAAGGAGGGTTGCTTGAGCTCAGGAGTTCAAGACCAGCTTGTGCAACATAGTGAGACCTCATCTCTACAAAAAATATAAAATTAGCTGGGTGTGGTGGTGCACGCCTGTAGTCCCAGCTACTTGGAAGGCTGAGGCAGGAGGATTGCTTGGTCCTACAGTGAGTAGTAGTGGTGATCGCTTGATCACTACAGTGAGTCGAGGCTGTAGTGAGCCAAGATTATACCATTCCACTGCAACCTGGGCAACAGAGCAAAACCCTGCCAAAAAAAAAAAAAGAAGGAAAATTAAAAAAAAAAAACAACTGAACTGAAGCCTTTGAGTGAGTTTGTCCGCCACATCTCATAGGCTTTGCTCATGAGATCATACAGCCTGGATCATATCATCTCCCAAAAATCTGTATTTGGCATTCAGGGATCCCCTGGCTCCTTCACTGAGCTCCACCAAGCACATGGGGTTTTGCAAGCTGTTGCTGCCAGGGAAAACCCATTGTGGGACTTCCCTGAAGGGCCACTCATGGGCTGGAAGTGTTGGCCAGAAATTCAGGCCAGCAGAGTGGACGAGAGGTGGTCTAGTACCCAGGAACATCAAGGCGGCAGCTGGTCTCTGAGGCCCCAGGACTTGAACCCCTGGGCTTAAGTGACTCCACGGGCTTGAGGCCCAAATAACAAACACAAAGCCACTTGGACCTGATGCAAGGAAACAACCTCCAGCCACCTTCCCCCAGGCCTTTAGAGTGCTGGTCTTTGCACAGAGAAGCACCACAGAGGACAGAAGCCTCCAGGACTCACCCTTCCCCATTTCTGGCCCTACCAGGTGAGTAGAGTGGCCTCAGGATGTGGGGGCTCCCATGAAGATGGACAGGAAGGATCTCTGGGGTTATTTCCAGTCAAGCATAATGCTGTCTTCACGCTTCGAAGCACACAGTGGGGCTTCCCACTCGTCTCTCTCTCCTACTGGGGCTACCTTACTGCATTTCCCCTTCCCCTTCCTTCACCCACCCAGGTAGGTGGGTAGTCCAGCTCTGGTTTATGGGAAGGCTGGAGGTAAATTTGCAAGCAGTTTGCAAAAGTCAGAATGCCTTGCCCAGGCACCACTCTAGATTCTAGACAAAATGAAGGAATGCTTAAAATAACCCATAATACTATTCAAACCCACTATTTAGGACATAGCCTAGGTTTTGAATAGCTGTGGAGATGGGAAAAAAGCAGTAGCCACTTAGATGGTGGGTTTGAAGGAAAAAAAAAAAGAAGAATACCTTTCTCCCTAAGTTCCAGGCCCCTCACACAGCTTTCCAAATGATGCGGGGGCAAGAGAATGGAAGGAATGGGAAGGCACCCCTTGGGTTCTTCCTTGAAATTAGGGCCCATTTAGGGGAAAGGCAGAAATCAGGACATGACCAATTCCCACCCCCATTTCCCAGCACTTCTCACAGATCCCCGCCCAGACCCCACTTGGTTGCCAAGCACACCCAGCTGAGAGCCCTGCCTTGCAGACACAGCCCAGGGAGAGCCACCAGAAACAGAAGCAAAGGCCACATTTATTCCACTTCTTGAAGGTGCAGGCCTTGGACCTGCCCAGACTCACAGTCCTGGCTGCATGTCCCAGGACCAGCTGGAGCCTCAGAGAGTGAGGGAGAGCCAAAGGGGCCCCAAGACACTGGCACTGGCCTTGGCCACCCATTTTCTCAACTTTAGGCTCAGTCAGACCAAGCATAGAAAGAACAGGAGGCTCTCTATGTTGCCTGAGGCTGGCAGTGGTGACCCTCAGAAATCACAAGGGAGCGGAGAGAGCTGTGTTCAACATGAAACGCTTGAAGAGGAAGGAAGACTGTGATGAGGTCGTTTGACCTACTGCCCTGGGGAAACCCCAGGAGGCCTCCTCTCCTGTTGGCTAGGGAGTGAAGTCCTATAAACCAGAGGGAGTGGGAAGGCGTATGAGAGCTTCTTCTCCCCACGGCCCAGCCATGGGCATGGAGGAGCAGTACCTGAGCCTAGAGAAGATAGAAAGGTCAGCCAGGCAGTTGCTGCCACACTCTTTCCTGTGGGTCCCAACAGAGGTGGCCTGGTGCCCAGTCTCAGCTGTGCTGCTTCCCAGGGAGAAAGGCAGTGGAAGGTAATGCTGGCGACATCCTGGCCAGCAGCCAGGAGGGAGGTAGGCTGATGTGATGGGATGGGATCTTGCCCTGGGTTGGTCTCATGGTGCAGAAGAGCAGTGTTGGAATCATTCTAATGCTTCAGGATGCCTCATGTGCCCCATGGAGCTCAGACATCAGGAGGTGCTGGGACTCTATTTAGCCTACAAGAAAAGGTACAGGCTAGCAGTGCCCACCTGTTGGAGAGGCCTGCAGACCACACTCCAGGGCCCAGCACAATTAGCTTTCAAGAACACTGAGCCATTCAAGTCCTCAGCTCTCCCCTTGTAGCACCCTCACTCCCCGACAAGAACCCACTGGCTCTCGCCTCTGACTATATGTTGGAATCACTTGGAAAGCTCATGCAAATCCTAACCACAAGCTGTACCCAGAGTCTCTGGGGCAAGACCCAGGCATTTGTACGTTTAAAAGCTCCCCTGGTGATTCCAGTGTGTAGCCAAGGTTTAGGAGGGGAAAGGAGTTTAAATGGATTCATTTGGCTCTTTGGCTACAGCTCTGAATAAGGAAGTGAAAATTCACTAAAATAAAGTTTTGAGCTATCTGCAAATAGATGACATATCACAGCAAGAGCAATTTTTGTTGGCACTAAAATTAGAACTTCCTGACCAAGAGGGCTGTTTTGGAAAATCCTTCCAAGAAGCTGTCAAATGTCCTCTTTGTGGGTGTTTAAGAGGATGAGTTCTCTTGCTGGAACAGGACAGGGAGGAGATTCCTCCCTTACCCAAGGACCCTCTGAAACTCTGGGGACAAACCACAAGCTCTGCTCCTGGTTTCCCTACCTCCTGGCCCCAATTCTAGTGTGAGACTGGAGTGGCCTCTGGGGAAGAAGTAACATTTAGTGAGCCCTTCCCTCCACACCCCCCTATGCGCAAGCACCTTGCATATCTCATTTTTTTAAATCCCTATGTCAACACCATGAGGTAGAAATTATTACTCCTGTTTCACAGGGGAGGGAACTGAAGCTCAAAGCTGAACACACCTCCCAGGGTCACGCAGTTGGTAAAAAGCAGGGTCAGGATTGAAATCCTGTAGGAACCTCTGCTGACTCTACCCTGCCATTGGTTCTCAGACAGGAAAATGACAGACACGAGGATGACAGGCAGGAGTGGGAGATGCGTGCACGTGTGTACATGTATATAAACAGGGCCGCTGGCCTTCAGGGCAAGCAAGGACCATCCTTTATCCTGAGGTTATCTCTCTTTGGTGGTAAAATGTGTTTTATAAAGTAGGGTTACTAGATGACAGGGCTTTTTTTTTTTTTTTTTTTTACTTCAAATGTGCTTACTTGGTTATGTGAGCAGCTGGTAACTCTGTTGTTCTCGAGTTTTCTTTTAGAACTATACTGGTACGTAGCCGGGCGCAGTGGTTCATGTCTGTAATCCCAGCACTTTGGGAGGCCAAGGCAGGCAGATCATCTGAGACCAGGAGTTTGAGACCAGCCTGGCCAAGATGGTGAAACCCTGTCTCTACTAAAAATATAAAAATTAACTGCGTGTGGTGGTGGACACCTGTAATCCTGGCTACTCAGGAGGCTGAGGCAGGAGAATTGCTTGAACCCAGGAGATGGAGGTTGCAGTGAGCCGACACAGTACCACTGCACTCCAGCCTGGGTGACAGAGTGAGACTCCGTCTCAAAAAAAAAAAAAAAAAAAAAAAAAAAAAGAAAGAACTTTTACTGGTATGCAAAATCTCAATCTCAGAGTCGGAGCCCTGTTGCGTTCCCACACCAACCTCTCATGACCCCTCAGCACCCCAAGGAGGGGAGTCAAATCAGGAGATGATCCTGCAGCCCCGGGCTGGCCCATGAGCATTGGCAGGAGGGACGGGAGCCCCACAAGGCCAGAGAAACACCGGCCTTGGGCATCGTATCCAAGGTGTCTGCGCTGTGGCTTCCTGGGGTAGCACATGGGGATGAAAACAGCACCTATCCTGAGGATGGCTGTGATTCAAGGAGGCATCTGGGGCAGCTTGAGCACAGAGTACATATGGAGTGCAGAGCTGGACACAGGCACAAACCCCATGCCTCCAGGCCCCCATCTCCCTGACAGCATGGAGGCTCACATTTTAAAGGCTGTAAGTGAACCCTACACCTCCTGAGGATGTCAACTCATTTGTGGAAAATGCCTAAGCTTCAACAGGGCTTCTTCGAAAATGGACACGTGTCATCAAACCTGCATGGGCAGGCTTGGGGACTCTTCACCACCCCCAGGCAAGGGTAGCTTGAAGACCCGGCCCTGACCTACACAAGGTGAAAGCTCCTTACCGTTCGATGATGCGGTTGTTGTCCAGGAGGTCAGATGCCAGCAGCTTCATCCCCTCGCAGAGCTCTTGCATGCTGCCCAAGGCAGAGGCAGGAGAGGCGGCTGAGGCTGGAAGTTGCCCTGCCCAGACCCTTTTCCTGGGAGGCCCACCCTCCTCTGCAGCCCCACCAAAGAAGCCTCTTTATTCTTTTTTGTTTGCTTATTTGAGACGGAGTCTTGCTCCTTTGCCCAGGCTGGAGTGCAGTGGCATAATCTTGGCTCACTGCAACCTCTGCCTCCTGGATTCAAGCAATTCTTATGCCTCAGCCTCCCAAGTAGCTGAGATTACAGGTGCCTGCCACCACACCCGGCTAAATTTTGTATTTTTACCAGAGATGGGGTTTCACCATGTTTGGCAGGTTGGTCTCCAACTTCTGGCCTCAAGTTGATCCGCTCACCTTGGCCTCTCAAAGTGCTGGGATTACAGGTGTGAGCCACCGCACCCAGCTAGTCTCTTTAATCTTGCCTCCTAGGCCTGGCATGACGCCAAACCCCTCAGGCTCTAACCTCAGCATACTCTGCTCCCTGCAACCCCCTTCCACACAGATACACAACCGCTTTCTCCCCAGCACTTACTGGAGAAGCAGGTCCTTTCGTGTAGGGCTGGGGTAAGGAGCTATGGGAGGCGGCGAGGCCTGAGCCCCCTTTGCTCGGTCCTGAAGGAGCTGGTGAGATAGCTCTTCCAGGAGCTGCAGGGAAGCCATACTTTGGTCAGCAATTAGTAGCCAGCTTATGTGTGGCTGGGTAGGGGGAGTGCTGGAGGAGGGGAAGACATGGGTAACAAGCGCCCCAGCCTGCATCCCCAGAGCACCTAGAATCCTTCTGCCATGCCCACCTTGCTGAGACTCTCCTGGACCCCCTGGGCTTCTGTGTTACAGGCAGCCACAGAACAGCCAACCAGGCGCAGGTGGTTCCTGGTCTCGTGCACCACCCTCAAGAGAACACACAGAGACTTAGAATTAGAGCAGGACTCAGCCCATTCCCCAGGGCTCGCCTAGCTGCCATCGGATCCACACATGGACACAGGTGGGTCCCGGGTATTTGCCTCCCTCGCTGCCTCTGCCCTGCCAGCTGTGCCCTCCACGCTTGCCCGCCCCACTGCAATAATGCAGAAGCACACAGCTGGCTGAGGCTGGGAGGCCCCCTTCAGAGCCGTAGTGTGGAGCACCAACAACATGCATGTGGCTGGGGCTGGGTGACGCATGCCACCTATGGTGAGCGTGGCACCAGTCAGGCTGCAGAGAGGCAGAGGATAGCCCACACCAGGGCTCTCAGTGTGGGGAACTGCCCACGCTCTCATTTCCAGTGTGAATTCTCTTCTATCTCTAAGTGGAGTGAAGGAACAGGAACATTTTCCCCAAGGCCCAGAGCTGTTAAATCAGGGGTTGGAGGTCAGCCCTCGCCACACATTAGAATCACCTGGAGAAGCTGTACTACACTGACATCCAAGCCCTGCTCCAGAGCAATTACACCAGAATGTGTGGTGGGTTGGAGTAGAAGAAGCAGGCATTGGTATTCTGATATGAGGACGGGTGAGTGCCAAGGTCTCAGCCCCATAACAAGGTGAGGTCCTACAGGCCTCAGAATGTGGTAGCACGTGGGAAATTGTCCTCTCTTCTCAGGAGGGGCCAGTGTTCACACAGGCAGGGGATGGAGAGTGGGCCTGATCTGAGAAGGCGGAACCCAAAACTCCTGAAGGGGACAGTGTGACAGAAGGTTCTACTTAAGGGCCACTGCCACTGTCCTTATCCCAGGGGCACCTAGTGTTCTCCTAAAGGAGACTTCTCAATATAACCAGGTGGAACGGTAGAAAGAATCCAGATTTGATTTGATTTTACCCCTCAAAAGCCCTGAAGAATCTAGATTGTAGAGGCAGGCAGAGCCACATACGAGTCTTGGGTCTGCCACTTACTAGCCATGTGATGTGCAGAGGAGACCTGTTCTCAGAGCCTCAGTTTCCTCACCTAGGAAATAGGGTGATGATATCTACTGTATAGGGCAGGTGTTGTAGGAGTAAATAAGCTGAGCTACAGAAATCTCCCAGCCAACTGCCTGGTCCACCCAGGGACAGAAAACCACTCCTCTGCTCACACCCCTTCACTCACTCCTCCCTCTGCCTCAGGGCTCCACAAAGCCCTGGGTCCTCTGAAGCCTAGAAGGGCCAGGCCAGGCCCTGGGCTCCAGGAGCTCAGGAGGGGCTGTTACCTCATCCTCTTGCCGTGTGTGACTAAGGACGCTTGATACTTCTGCACGCACTCCTCCTGGAACACCTGCAGGAGTCTTTTGGCTAAATGACTGAAATTCACCCTAGAACGACAGAGAACCAAGGTGCAGATGAGCTGCCAGAACCACTATGCACAAGCCCACCATCCCTCAGTCTCCGTCAGTCTCCGTCACCACCTTGTCGTAAGTGCCCAAGCCCTGCGTCCACAGCAGGGCTATGTCTCTGGGAAAGGAGGAAGGACGGTCACACACTTGGATTGTGAAGGTTGCAGTGGCCAGCAAAGCCCACATCAACAGGGAGACGTGGGAGACACACAGGGGGTCCTCAGGGAACACACATGTGCTCAAGCTTAGTCCTCAGGAAAGGGAAGGGAAAGTGAGGCAGCCGTGGAAAGAAGGTGTGTGAGTGCGTGTGTGTGTGAGACAAAAAGGGGTCGGGGTGCTTGTAGAACTGGGGGAGTGAGTTCCCAGATAACCATTAAATCAGGGAGGGCCTCCTGGACGTGAGTGTGTCCGGGAAACATGGGAGACAGAGGAGCGGGGGGAGGCAGGGAAGGTTCAGGCAGAGGGCAGAAGCAGGAAGTGGTAAGTGGTGCATCAGTGAGGACAACTAGAGAAAAAAAAAGCCTGCAAACAGTCTTGTCCATACCAGAAGTAAATCCAGTTACTTCAAGATTGCATCTGAGAAGTCTCCCTCCAACTAAGCTATGCATACTCCCTCCCCTGGCCCCAGATAACCTGTTATCCCCAACTCTGCTCAGCTGCAGTCCGGGACAGGGCCCTTCACTGCCTCTCCTCTGGCGTTGAGAATCGCTCTGCCCTGAGGACACCCACCCTCCTGCCCACCCACCTGCCGGAGGACAGGCCACTCACTTATCCAGCTTGTGAATCTGCTCCTCGTTGTAGCCAAGCCCTGGAGGAAACAGACAGAACAGATGTCACCTATTCAATCAGTCAACGAAACAGTGTGCAGCAAAGGTCGAGAGACAGTTAAAAGATGAAGACGGCCCAGCCTGTGCTGCTTCACGGGAACTCACCGCCCAGCGGAGCAGGAGGGGCAGAGGAGTGAAGCTAGCACCGGAATAGCTGATTAGGACAAAGCCAGGGCCTCAAGAAGCCATGGGGAAATTGTGTGAGGGCCCCAGGGGAAGGCAGCCTGCAGTGCAGGGCCGGGGTGGGGACGTGGGGGATGCTTCAGGTGGGAGTTGGTGGATGAAGTGGGCTTAGAAGGAGGCTCGGTCAACCATAGCCCCTTATCCAGCACCCTCCCAGAGTGACTGATGCCTGCAGCTGGGTGGTCCCATCCCTGAATGTTCATGGGCGCTACCTGCAACGAGCTGGAGAAATCAGGCCACCACCTTCTACCTCCCCGCTCTGCCCAGCCACTTTTGCCAGAAAGGCTGAAGCTTTCATGGCCTTGGCTGCCTCCTGAAGGGCCCTAAGGCTCATGCACTAGGGAGATGCTGCCCCCTCCTGGTCTTCGCAGGAATGGGCCTCCAGGGTGGCGGCAGCCCCAAGATGAAATGATGATGGCGGTTCACTTCGAGGGCCTCCCCATCCCACTCCTCTCATAGCAGAGTCCCCCTCCTGGGCCCTGCACTCGGCCAGCTAAGAGCATGTGTGCAGTCCGAGAGACCTGGGACAAACCTCAGCCCTTCCTCCTGTTGGCAGGCGGCACTAGGCGAGTGATTTCACTTCGCTGAGCCTGTCTCCTTATCCATCACAGGTGCCACTTGGGAGTCCCGTGAGGCTCATGCGAGAGAGCCTGAAGACCACCGGGCATTTTAAAAAATGGTATCTTTCAACACGCTGGGTTTTAACAGTTAGGGGTTCATTTTTAATTTTATTAAAGGACTCTTAAAGACCAATAGAAGTAAAACTCCTTTGAGGCTGTAAAATGGGATAGTTAAAAGCAGCTGGACCTAGATTACTTGGGCTACTTAACCTTTCTGTGTCTTGGTTTTCTCATCTATAAAATGGGGAGGGTAATGATGCCTAGAGGTTTTGTTATTGTTGTTGTTTGAGACAGGGTCTCGCTCTTGCCCTGGCTGGAGTGCTGCAGTGGTGTGATCTTAGCTCACTGCAGTCTCGAACTCCCAGCTCCCAGGCTCAGGTGATCCTCCCACCTCAGCCTCCCAAGTAGTTAGGACTACAGGCGCATGCCCACGTCCAGCTAGTTTTGTTTATTTTTTGTAGAGACGGGGTCTTGCTATGTTGCCCAGGCTGGTCTTGAACTCCTGGGCCCAAGTGATCCTCCCGCTTCAGTTTTCCAAAGTGCTGAGATTACAGACATGAGCCACTGCACACAGCTCCATGTATGTGTGTGTGTGTATATATATATATATATATATATATATATATACACACACACACACACACACACACATATACACACATATATAAAATTTAGTTTCCCAATAGAGATGTGTTATAAATGTTATATATATGTGAATAATATATATATGAATAATATATATATGTGAATAATATATATATGAATTATATATATATATGTGAAATATAAAACAATGAAGTGATGGGAAAGCATCCTGTAGTCCCAGCTAGTCAGGAGCCTGAGATGGGAGGATGGCTTGAGCCCAGGAGGTTGAGGCGACAGTGAGCAGTGATCATGCCATTGTACTCCTGCCTGGGTGACAAAGGCCCTGTCTCAAATATATATATTAGCATGTAATCAATATAAACAGAATTGCTAAGGAAATAAGTTATATATTTATGTGTATATATACACGTGGGATTTTGAAGATAACACAAAAAGAATATAAGGTATTTCCTTAGTGATTTTGTTTATATTGATTACACGCTAAAATGACACTGGATATATTGGGTTGAATAACACATTAAAATTAATTTCACTTGTTTCTTTCTACTTTTTAAAAATTGGCTACTAGAAGACTTAGAATTACATACGTGTCTGGCATTATATTTCTATTGGACAGTGGTTTTTAGATAATCCCAAGGAGAGAAGAGAATTTGGCAATAAAGCCCAAGACCTTCAGCCTACAGATTAGGAAATGCTTGGGGCCTGGGAGAGGAGGGGGAGGTTTGGTTCCTGGTGTGTTAGTTCCCCAACCTGAGGAGTCAACTGGAGCCTCCGCAGGCTCCCTCCAACCCCCTCACCAGCCCTCCCTGGGTCCCACCCTTGCACTACCCCACAATGGCAGTCACTTTGGACAAGCAGCTTCCCACCCCCGAGCCTGTAAATGGGCTGCCCCTGCCACAGCATCCTTGTGAGGATTAATGGATCAAGCAGCCAAAATGCCTGACCCAGTGACTCAAAATGGGACTTCTCCTGACCCCCCCTTTTCTGGAAAACCTGACTGTCTCAGTGTCCCAAGGACACAACGGATAGTGACATTCTATACTTTAAAGTGCCCTGCCAAGGTGCGAGATCTCTTTCCAGGACCACCTCTCCTACAGCACCCAGGTCCCGGCCCACTGGATCCCCCAACCATGTGATCCAAGTCTCTCATGTGGCAACAGGCAGGCATGTAAAGGTTTCATGTCCCCCACTGGCCTGCAGGCAGCTTGCAGACAGGGGCCTTGCCCCTAGAGCAGCTGCACAGAACCATCCGCTTAGTGGGCCTCCAAGAACCACCAGCTGGAGGTTAGCGGCCACTTAGCTGGAGGTTAGTGGCCACTGGTAGCACCAGTGAAAAGGAAGAAAGGCGAAAGAAGGGAGACAGAGGAGAGAGAAGGGGCATCTGCCCTCCCCGGGCTCACCTGGCCTCATCCTAGACTTCTTGAACTGTTTGTAGATGAAGTTCATCTTGTCCAAACAGCACTGAATCTGCTGGATGCTGTGGGCAGGAGACAGGGACCAGGTGTTGGAAGAATCTAATAGCACAGAGGAAAGAGGGAGGGAGGGGAAGGGTGGCAGTGGAATAGGGGAGGAGCCTCACAGCCACAGTTTTGGGGGATCAGTCTGGGAGTGGAGGTGGCTGTCCCGTCTCTAGGCTTATTTGAGACCCCGTACAGTCAGCCAGCCGTCTCTCGTTCTCATGGCTTATTCTTCCTCTCTCACACACATGCACTCGCAGCATGAGTTAAGTAGGAGATAAGAGAGACAGGAAGCCAAGCAGGACGGGCAACAGGAACGTGGCCTTTACTACCTGAGAAGTTGTGAGACTAGGCCCTGGGAAGGAGCCTAGGCCCCTGAAACCTAAGAGCGTGTCTGGCAGTGACAGCTGGGGATAGAGGGGAGCTAAAATCTCTCTCTGGTCAACTGGAAAAAGCAGAAGAATATAGCTTCTTGGTTTACCCAATGTGTGGCACACAGCAGAAACTTAACATAAATAATGAATCAATAATCCTTATTGAAAACAAGAATGAATCAACAGGCCTCGGTCCTGCCCGGAGGCGGAGGAACTGGGGAGATGATCTCCCGAGGACTTTCTTGTTCTGGGGTTGAAGGTCATTATTATTTCTTCCTTCCCCTTTTCAGGCTGGAAACAAACACTTTGTTTGAGAAGTCGGGAGTGTCTGGGAAAAGTTCTTCCTCACCCACAGGCCTATGTAGCTCCACTTCCTCCCTGCAGCACCTCCAAGTGACCCCATCTCTGCTATTTCTGGAGCTTGACTCTGAACAGAGCACAGGCTTGTTCCAGGGCTCTGCCAGCCGAAGGAGCCTGCCCCGCCAGGAACATGAGGGTGGAAGATGAAGTGGCTGGGACAGGCCTCAGATCCACAGCCTTCATCCAAAAGACAAGGCCTGGGATCCACAGCCTTCATCCAAAAGGACAGGGCTCAGATCTGCAGCCTTCATCCAAATGGATGGGGCCTTGATCCTCAGCCTTCATCCAAAAGGACAGGGCCTCAGATCTGCAGCCTTCATCCAAAAGGATGAGGCCTTGATCCTCAGCCTTCATCCAAAAGGACGGGGCCTCGATCCACAGCCTTCATCCAAAAGACAGGGCCTGGGATCCACAGCCTTCATCCAAAAGACAGGGCCTGGGATCCGCAGCCTTCATCCAAAAGGATGGGACCTCGATCCTCAGCCTTCATCCAAAAGGACAGGGCTCAGATCCACAGCCTTCATCCAAAAGACAGAGCCTGGGATCTGCAGCCTTCATCCAAAAGGATGGGGCCTCGATCCTCAGCCTTCATCCAAAAGACAGGGCCTGGGATCCTCAGCCTTCATCCAAAAGGACAGGGCCTCAGATCTGCAGCCTTCATCCAAAAGGATGGGGCCTTGATCCTCAGCCTTCATCCAAAAGGATGGGGCCTCGATCCACAGCCTTCATCCAAAAGACAGGGCCTGGGATCCGCAGCCTTCATCCAAAAGGACAGGACCTCGATCCTCAGCCTTCATCCAAAAGGACAGGGCCTCAGATCTGCAGCCTTCATCCAAAAGGACAGGGCCTCAGATCTGCAGCCTTCATCCAAAAGGACGGGGCCTCAGATCTGCAGCCTTCATCCAAAAGGACGGGGCCAAATGTGCTCTGAATTGAGAATCGTCTTCTGATATCAGAAAGGCAATTTGGTACCCACACAGTGTATTGTGGAATGGCCCGAGCAGGGCATCAACTCCTAATCAAACACATTCACATCTCCAAAGAACCACAAGAACATTCACCGTAAGTGGGATAAATTCTATAAAGAGCCTCATTCGATTTAGGTCAGGTTTTATGGCCAAAACAGTTAAGAAAAACTCCTGTGGTGTTCAGAGCTGTTTGAATTTAGAATTGAGGCCATGGGATGATGGATGGGGATAGGCCCAGATTACAGTAGGCACCAGCAGAGAATGGGGAGGAGGTCCGCGCTGGGTACCACCCATCCCCTGGTCAGAAGCGGCAAGGTAGGCAGCGGCTCCCCACAGTCAGCTGGGGCCTGGGGGAGGGGGGTATTTTTATGTCTGTTAAAAGGGAGAGTGGTGCCTTAAAGGTTGTAAACCCCTGCCTGGCATAGGCCAAGAACATAGGCTTTGGAGGTGGACAGACCCGACCTGAAGCCACCTCTGTCATTTGTCATTTACTGGCTGTGACTCAGGGTAAGTTAACCTCACTGACTGAGGTTCTATAAAAAGGGCATTATCATAGCATCATTATTGTTTTCAGGATTCAACGAGATGCTGTACGTGAGAGGACCTACCCAAGGGCCTGACACAGAGAAAGGGAACTAAAGTCTTCTTTTATTCAGAATTATAGCACCTGCTAAGATTCCCGAGGCATTCCTCAAACTCCAAGATGGGTGCAGGACCCCAGATCCTTTTCTCCTCCTGGCTGGTGTCTGGGGCAGTCGGGGGGTTCTTGTTTATTGCTGGATCTCCCTCTACTCCCCCATGCCCTAGCACCCTTGCCAAGAGAAAGGGGAATGCAAGCTGACGTCTAAAAGGCTAAAGGTTACTGGACCTTTGGAGCTGCCCACTCCCCCACTCCCACCCCACAAAGAAGGAAAATCCCACAGACCTTCTGTCCTCATGTACCTGATCCCGGCTCTTCACCAGCTCCCGGTTCAGGCTGCTCAGGCTCTCCTGGGTCTCCGTGATATTTTGGGAGCATCTGGAGAGGACCTCCGCTAGCTGTGGGGCACAAAGGCAGACCCCCGTGGGGTCTTCAGCCTGGGCACTGGTGGGCAGGCTGGCTGGAACACGGGCCCCCAGCTCTGATCCTGCTAAGCCCTTGCCCTCCAGCCTCACTCACAGTCCGCAGCCTGGACCTCAGTTCTGCAGCCGCCTTCAGTTCCTGGATCTCAGGCGTTCCAGCCACGCTGCTGAACCTTGAGGGAAGCAAAGAGAAAGGCCACATTTGGGGGCTTAGGAGCAGCCAAGGTGGGAGGCAGAGAGCTCTGTTGGCACATGCTGGGCATAGCATCTGTGGGACAGCCTTGGTGGCTCTCCGGGTCTCTGGGAAGTTTTGTGTTTGGGACAGAGGCGCCATCCTGACGAGGGCCCTGCTTACCCAAGTTGTGACATTGTTGAGTATTGCAAATAATAAAGGTTGAGACAGATTGTAACACCTTGAGTCTATGAAAATTCACGGGCCCATGATGCAAGGCTGCTATTAATGATCTCCTTACCAGGAAACTTTGTAACTAAAGGGAAAGAATTAAGTTCCTGTCCAGTAGAAACTGTATTTCTTGATAACCAATAGCTTTCTGATGAGGGAAAAGCTATATTTTGTAGACTACTAGGCAATGATATATCAGAAGTTAGAACATTATCATCTTGCTGCCCAGTGAAATCGTTCTCTGGGGCATAGCCTTACAAGCAATGATGGTTGATAATGGGGTGGGCATTTGCACGGTGACAAGGTCACACCACTCTGCTTCTTTCTTCTACAGGGACAATGTAACGGTACAGCAGAGGAATCAGGCCATCACCAGCCAGTGGTATGTCAACATACAATACCCGGCATCATCAATAATGTATTCTAGCAAAAAATGTTCAACTGGAATCCATCTAGCCTTGTGCACTCCCAGTTTAGGCCTGGCACAGTGGTTCATGCCTGTAATCCCAGCACTTTGGGAGGCAGAAGTGGGAGGATTGCTTGATACCAGGAGTTTGAGATCAGCCTGGGAAACACAGTGAGACCCTGTCTCTACAAAAATAATAATACAATACAATACAATACAATACAATACAATACAATACAATACAATACAATACAATACAATACAAAATAAAAGCCAGGCATGGTGGCTCACACCGGTAATACCAGCACTTTGGGAGGCCAAGGTGGGAGAATTGCTTGAGGTCAGGAGTTCAAGACCAGCCTGGCCAACACAGTGAGACCCTGCCTTGAAAAAAAAGAAAAGAAATAAAATAAAATACTAAAAAAAAATTTTTAAAACTTCCCAGTTTACAGGAAATGCTGAGAAAGAAGGACAAGACAAACAACTTCAAGGGGAAGCTCTAGATGAGTCCAGAAGGTGGGACAGCAGATGTGATCCCCAAAACAGGTTATAAAACAGCAAATACACTATCATTTCATGTTGGTTAATGTTTACTCATAGTAGAAAAATATCTAGAAGGATGTGTACTCCTAAGGTGTGATAACCTGTCTCTAGATAGTAGGTTATGGGATTTTAATTTTCTTATTTTTGCTTATCTCTGTTTTCTAACTTTCTACCATTAGTATATACATTTTAGTAACAATCATGATTTTTAAAAAGTATGCTGTGTATTTTGGCTTGGGAATGGAGGAGCAGGGAAGGAGAGGGGAGCTGAGCAAAGAGAGAATCAGGAATGAACTGCAGGCTCCTTGAAGACAGGGGTGCCGTCGCTTTGCTCCTCGTACGTCTCGTGCCTAGCAACGTGTTCGGCACATGGTAGTCCGTCAGTGCACGGATGCTGAAGGCGTTACTGAGTGCACAAATGGATTTTAAGGCATGGGAAATTTGACGGCAGAAGAGGGTGAGGCTGGACCCAATACATCTCCACAGGGAGTCAGGAGACATGGGTTCGAGTCCTAGTCCTGGCATTTGCTATCTGCATGACCTTGGGTTAGTCCTTTAGCTCTCCAGGCCTCAGGCTCTTCACCTATAAAACGAGGAGACAAATTTCCTTCCTGCGACACAATAAGATATTCATAGGGATCAAAAGGGACCTTGGAGATGAAGTCTTGCCTGGAATGTCTTGCCTGGTGGCGGGGCTGGGGGAAGCCCTAGGATTCCCAAAGCCCGTCCTGGCTGCCTGAGCAGTGCCTGTGGATGGCAGCAGCTGCCCAGGAGGGCCAGGGAGCTTTGGGACAAAGGCAAGGTTGCTCTACCAAAGGACCTGTCCTGGGGAACCTGAGGCAGGATATGCACACTGGGGGAGAGGTGGGTCACCAGGATGGGCAAAGGTGGGCCACTTGGCATGAGGTGCTGGGTTCCTCCAGTGTGACATTCAGCTCATGAAAATACCTGGTTCCACTGCGGGTGGAGCTAGTGTCTTCAGCCCTTAGGAGAATCTACAGGTCTGGGGATGTTCAGGCAAGAATGGGCTTGCAACATGTGGGAGCTGGGAGGCCGCAGAGATCATGCAACCCTCTCATTTTGAAAATGAGGACACAGAGGCCCAGGTAGGGGAAGGTGACAATGGGCTGGAGCCACACCCAGACTAAGAGAAGAGGCTGCACCTGGCCCTCTGGCTCCCTGCTCACAACTGTTTTTGCTCACCATCCTCCTCCTTGATGGGAGGCTGAAATAGGCTTCAAAGCAGGCACTTGCCTGACCCCAGCTCTCTAGACACACCACGGAGGCCACCTTGGAGGAGGCTGCAGAGCCAGAACAGGGGAACAGCAGCCAGCGGACACCAGGATGCCAGGACGCCAGACCCAGGCCAGCGTGCCATTCCCCACCATGCCTGTCCATCCAGGGCAAGTGGGCAGACAGACACCCAAAAAGCTTTCCCAAACACATCTTTCCAGGTCAAGAATCTACAATGGCTCTCTACTGGTTGTTTTATTGGGGTCCAACCTCTCTCTAGCTGGACTCCTTCAGGGCCTCTATGCCTTCTTTCCTCCCCTCCTCACCTCCACCTCTGTCCGCCTCTGGCTTAGCTCTGGGCTATCTGCCATCATGACTGTGGCTTCAGTAAGCCTCCCCAGCATCCCCTCCTTTCCCCCGAACAGGGCCCTTTTCTTCTCTGTCTCTGCGCAGACCTTCCTGCCTGAGGTATTCTTCTTCTTTCTGGCCTTAAAAGCCTCATCCTAGGCCGGGCGCGGTGGCTCACGCCTGTAATCCCAGCACTTTGGGAGGCTGAGGCAGGCAGATCACGAGGTCAGGAGATCGAGACCATCCCGGCTAAAACGGTGAAACCCCGTCTCTACTAAAAATACAAAAAATTAGCCGGGCGTAGTGGCGGGCACCTGTAGTCCCAGCTACTTGGGAGGCTGAGGCAGGAGAATGGCGTGAACCCGGGAGGCGGAGCTTGCAGTGAGCCGAGATCGCGCCACTGCACTCCAGCCTGGGCGACAGAGCGAGGCTCCGTCTCAAAAAAAAAAAAAAAAAAAAAAAAAAAAAAAGCCTCATCCTTCAGGAAGGCCTCCGTGGTTGCCTCTACCCATCTCAGGTCTCCTCTTACCCAACAATCCCATCAGCCCTCACATGTCCAGGAAGGGCTAGCTGCTCCGGAGGAAGCATGGGCCTCTCTGAATGACAGGATGCCACATCTACCCCTGGAGCCCCCTCTGTGCCCTGGACAGAGCTCTGCTCAAAGGAGATTCACTTGCAGTTCTGCTGACTGAACCCTACTCTCTGTCACCATTTGAGAGGGGCTCAGTCTGGATGGAGACTCCATCCCTGTTATCTGGAGATGCTCCTCTTCCTCCTCCCTGCTCCTCCACCTCCCAGCTGCCCCATCAACTGAGTTGCTGCTGCGAAGCAGGAGGCACGCGGGGCTGCATGAGTCAGCCCACAGCTGGGAAACTCCCTGGAGCTCCCTGAGGACAAGGGCTGGGGGTGGCGGGAGGAGGGGGCCTTCAGGCATATGGGCAGTCTCTGATCTTCTGTTCCCAAAGACTCCTGTCACCAGTGGCATCCCTAGGCTGCAGAGCTCCCACCCTCACCCGTACCATGGCCTCGTGCCTTCCAGGATTTGGGGTGCTGTGCCTACTTCTCAATCGTGCTCTGGCCAATGAAGTCTTCCCACATTCCCCATCTCCAGACCCTTCCACTTGGCTTCCTCCTGCCCGGTCTCTCTCTTTTTCCAACCCATCCCCCCTTATTAGCCCAAGACAAGGGAGTGGAGGGAGTGGGGTTCCAAAGATTGGGGCAGGGAACCCAAGGAAGGCAAGGATAAGTTGAAGACTCAGAGAAAGCAGGAGATGAGGCATGGAGAACGAGACCACCTGGATCTCCATCCCTGGTCACATCCAGGAACTGTGCGTGGGTGTGTGTCCTCCCCCTAGAGTTCTGCTGGCACTTGGCATAGGGTGAGCACTCTAAATCATTCAGAGAAGGACTTGGCAGGACACAAGCCCCTTCTTGGGATAGGGAGGCCACCTTGGTACCTGGAGAGTCTGTGCCCCCATGGGCCCCTTCCCCTGCAGGTGAGGGACTGGGTTTTGGGGGAGCCATTGCAGTTATTTGGTGAGGTGGGGATAAGGGATAGGGTGCGGGTGCCCTCTATTCTAGGAGGGCAGGGAAGGCAGTAGCCCTGGCTTGGGGGAGAAGAGGTGCATTGTTGGAAGTATCTAGGGTGAGGAGCAGACAAGGCAGGGCTGAGAGGTCCCAGCTGGCCTGAGGCGAACACCCACCTCTCAGTTCCCAGGCTGCTGCTGAGGTAGAGGAGGGATGTCCTTGCCACTTCCAGAGTCCGTCTGCATGTGGCCTGGAGCACCTCCCTGTCCAAGGGGAGACTGAGTCAGAGCTGCCTTGATCGGGGGACTCAGCACCGTGCATGCAGACAGCATCCCAGGATACTGGCCTCCACCTCCTGCCGGCCTCCCCCTCTGGCCTGCCTCCCCCTCCGGCCTGCCTCCACCTACAGCCCGCCTCCCCCTCCAGCCCGCCTCCCCCTCTCTGCCCACCTCCCTCTCCTGCCCACCCCCTCCTCCTGCTCACCTCCACTTCCTGCCCACCCCCCACCCATCTCCCCTTCCTGCCCACTCCCCCTCCTGTCCGCCTCCCTCTCCTGCCCGCCTCCCCCTCTGTGCCCAGCCCTCATGATTACTCACATGACCCAGTGCAGCCCCCGAAACATTAGCTCCTGCCCATCCAGCAGGGCCCGTGCCAGCCGCAGGGCCTGGTAGCCGGCGCCCAACACGCCCTGAAACACAGAGATGCACAGGGCCAGGTCCCACACCTCCTACCCTTGGGTCATGCCCCTCCCTGCCACCTGGGGGTTGCCCCTCACCTTGGCAGTGTTGTAATCCGCCTGCAGGTCCACTTTGGGGACGAACTTGGGGACGTCCAGAGCAGCTGCAGACAAAGACCCTGTCTGAGGGGCCTGCCTGTATGGTGCTGGGTCGGCTTATCTTTCATTATTTCCAGCTCACACTCACCCCTCACTGCCAATCTCCCACCTCAGGCTTCACAACTCACCCTGAGCCTCCCACCTTGCCAGCCTTAGCCACACTTAAAGTTGTGATCCCTCACTGCCACCTTGCGGCCACTTTTGAGAACTACCTCCTCATGTCCAAGAGCTGAAAATGGACTAAATCACCCTCTTGTCCACAGGTTTTGAGGTGAATACCCCTTCCTAGCCTCAGAGAAAGAGGATAAAACTTGCACTGTTCAAGTGAGAAGAAAGGACATTTTTGCTAGAGTTTGGAGAGAGGCCCAAGCTCTGGACCCCGACCCCCTTCCCTTCTTTCCAGGAGCTCAGACTTGGGCTTCTTCCAACACAAACTGCCTGAGGCTTCCCCACAAATCAGAGATTATGGAAAGTGCATTAAATCCAGATCTCCCTGTTTCCACTGGAGCTCTTTCCACAGCTCTGAGGATGCCAGTAAGCCCCAGGGAGGTCAAGCCACCAGCCCACGTCATGTGGCATCTCAGAGGCGTCTGCAGAATTAGAACCCACATCTGCCTCCTGCTCCCTGTGGCCCCAAAGAAACACCCACAAAGAAAAGTAACCAATGGCCTGGATTGCAAACTCCTGTCTCAGAGGAAAATGTGGGGAGGAGAAAGATCCAGCCCAGGTGGCTCTACTCACGGTCCCTGAAGGCCAGCCCCTTAGGGATGGCTGTGCTGAAGAGGGTCAGGGGGCTGCTTGCCGTCGTGTGGGCGATGTGCTGTGCTGAGACGCTGGGCTCGAGGACACAGAGGTGACCCTCAAAGAGGTACTCCTGGTGTCGGGGGGCCACACTGGTCTGCTTGTGCACGGCCTCCTGGAAAATGGCTATCCTAGACACAGCCGTGGTGGGGAGCAGAGGGCAGGGGGTGTCAGTAGGCAAGGCAGGGGGCTAGGGTGACCTAAGCCCCAGCTAAGCGTTGCCCATAGACAGGGCTCTGTTTTGCAGAGGGAGGGACGGGGGTGGTTTTCTCTGTCATCAAGGGTGGAGAGACCAAGGGGAGAGTTCACATCTTATAGTGATGGAGACAGAGTGGGAACAGGTCCCAGGAGTCCTAATACCCAGCCTTTGCCTCTGCACCTCTTCCTGTCACACTGCCATTAAAATTTACCTAGTTCTATAAAATTATCCAGGAATCAAGGGTACTATGAGCAGTACCTTTACGAAATGTACAGCCAACATACACCACGCACACACTTCTCAGATGTATAATGCATATTAGCATTAGAAAAGGTACTGACTCTCTGAAGTACATGCAAGAAAACCTGTTTAGCTTTAACTTTGTAGAACTAGTCTTTTCCCAACTACGTTTGGACCTGGAAGCGTTCCTATGTACACACTCCTCAGAACGTACTGTGGGAGATGCTGCTTTGGACATGCACTGCTGCTTGGGTAGAGAAGGTTCTCACCGCTTCCCTCCCTCGCCCCCACTTACGTGTTGTGGGCATGGATATAGATGTGGTGCAGGACTGCCTGGGACAGGGAGAAGACATGGACGACAACTCGCTGCAGGATGTCACTGGTCTCCGCAAAGAACTGGTCGAAGCCCCAGCACTTGGCCTGCTCCACCTCCAGGATGTTGGCCAGGATGGGCACCAGCTGGCTCTGCAGCCCCCTGCCCTCCCAGGACATGGAGACTGTCAGGGGTGGGGGCCCAGACCTATCCTCCTTAAGCAGGCAATAGGAGCGTTCTAAGAGAATATCCTGAAGAGCTAGGACCAAGATGGTGGGGCAGGGTGGGTTGGGGAGGAAGAGCTGGAAGAACTCGTTCCAGCAACCAGATGGGAAAGTGGTGTGCCCAAGCCTGCAGCATGCCCGGAACCTGCTGGAACAGGCCTCAGAAGTCTTGACTTAGCAGAGAGAAGTGACACCCAGCTCAGACTCCAGCATCACCCCCCAGCAGGGTCCCACTCACAGTGACAGCTGGCAGGTGATGGGGAGGGTGTAGCTCCACTCCAGGGGCCCGTTCTCCCGCCTCTGGGCACCTGCAATGGCCCCAGCCGGCTTCTCCGTGGTGATCCGGTACCTGCGGGGAGGAAGGCCAGGTCAGCGGGATCCCCAGCTATCACATTGCCGGGCAACGACACACTCAGCACAAAGGGCTCGGAGCACAGGTTCAAGTCACCCAGCTACCCCAAAGTAGCCTGACAGATGGAGTGTGAGAAACCTGGCTCTCAGCTGTGAGAGCGCCTTGCCTCAGCACTCCTCCTGGAGCCCTTTGCTTCAGGTAGAGACACCTTTGCCCTGTCCACTGCCTCTCCCCCCGCTACACTTCCCTCAGCCTGGCCAGCCTCCTCCACACCTTTGCCCATGCTATGCATGGCCCCAGTATCCTCTCCTCTTTCTTTCCCTTCAGAGTCCAGCCTTCCCTGACAACCCCCATCCATGCTGGTCTTCTGCCCCTTTTGCGGGCCTGATATAGGTTCCACACAGCTGGACCCCGGGGCTGAGGTGGGTGCAGCAACCTTCCCACTAAGCCAGCTGACATCTCCTCTGCTCTGGGCTGTGCACTCAGAGGGAGCCGCTACTGTCTCCAGCCACTTGCTACTTCCCTGTCCGATGGCACAAAACCATGGAAAGACCTTGGACCTGGGAACAGGAAGCTGCCACCTTTGCCCCTGGTGAGCTCTTCCACCTTAGGCAAGGCACTCTTTGAGCTTCGGTTGAGACGAGGAGAGCAGTAAGGGAGCAGAGGGCTAGAGTGAAGCACCGAACTAACATAGAGCATATTCACAGACTCCCATCAGCCCTGGGCAGAGCTCAGCTGCTTGTTTGATCCCATTAACAAAAAAAGATCTACAAAGAGCCTGGGTTGGGGGGTGGACCAGAGGAGGGCCATGGAGTGTGAGGGGACCAGAAGACACAGCAAGGACCGGTGGGGGAAGGGCCAGGGGACTGCCAGTCCGCCCCATTCCCTGCCCTGTGGCCCACCGTACATGATCTCCTTGTTCCGCCGTGGCCCACCAAAGGGGATGAAGGGCAGGCTGCCAGTGGCTGCATGGTACAAGGTCACTCCAATGCTCCAGAGATCCACAGTCACCCCGAACGCTTTTTGCTGGGGCTTTCGAAGCACCGCCCGCTCATACATGTCGGGATGCTGCCGGAGAGAACCAGAATGAGGCCATGGAGCCGGAGGGCTGGCAAGGGCCTGAGACCTGTCAGACCCCCTTTCACCGCCTGCAGGTGAAAACAGAACTGTTCAAATCCTTCTTTGTCATCTTAAAAATGGGTGTCAGCCTCACCTTTTCCATCTTAGAGAACAGAATGCATTCTTCTGGTTGGGGTACAGGGGAGAGACATAACTCCTGTGGAAGCAGGAGGTGGGCCACACCCCCTCATGGGGGCTCTGGGGGGCTCACAAGGCAAGGGGAGCCCTCAGCATAGGGCAGCGGGTCTCGAGCAGCTCACCCACCAGGTACTCCTCAGTCCCATAGACCGAGACGAACTTCTCATCATCATCCAGCTCCCGGGCAGCGCCGAAGTCTGTCAGCTTGTAGATGCTCTGCCCCTCCTCCCCTACGAGGCGCATGATGTTCCCCGGCTTGATGTCGCGATGCACAATGCCGTTCTCCCGCAGGTGGTTCATGCCGGCCACTGGGGACAGACGGGGAGGCCACTAGCTGGCTCTGGTCGGGGACAGTCTAGTGTCTGAGGCTCATCTTGGTGGGAAGGCTGTCCTTGCATCCAGAGAGACAGGAGTTCCCATGGGCTGACAGAGCCATGGGACAGGCAGAAGGACAGAGACATGCATGGGGCTTAGGGGGCATCTCAAGGACACTAGGGTATGGAGGTACCATCTGGATTCTCTAGGAAACCAAGATGGGTGGTGGCTCTGTGTCCTCAAGGGCAGCACCCCTCTTTGTATTACTTCTTTTGATTAGGTGTTCAATTGTGGTAAAATATGCATAACGAAATTTCCCATTTTAACCAATTTTAAGTGTACACTTCATTGGCACTAAGCACACCCACGCTGCTGTGCCACCATCACACCATCCATCTTAGAACTTTTCTCATTCTCCAATTTTTTTTTTTTTTTTGGAGACAGAGTCTCACTCTGACACATAGGCTGGAGTACAGTGGTGCAATCTCAGCTCACTGCAATCTCTGCCTCCCAGGTTCAATCGATTCTCATGCCTCAGCCTCCCAAGTGGCTGGAACTACAGGCATGCACCACCACACCCAGCTAATTTTTGTATTTTTTTAGTAGAGACAGGGTTTCACCGTGTTCGCCAGACTGGTCTCAAACCCCCAACCTCAAATGATCCGCCCACTTGGGCCTCCCAAAGTGCTGGGATTACAGGCATGAGCCACTGCACCCGGCCTCATTCTTCAAACTTGAAACCATACTTATTAAACAACTCCTCATTCTCCTCTGCCCCCAGCCACTGGAAACCACCATGGTACTTTCTGTTTCTATGAATGTATGAGTGGAATCATACAGGATTTGTCCTTCTGTGTCTGGCTTTTTTCACTTAACATAATGTCATCAAGGTCCATCCATGTTGTAGCAGGTGTCAGAATTTCTTTCCTTTTAAGACTGAATAATATTCTATTTTAGGTACCTCCCACATTTTGTTTTCACAGTTAGGATGTTTCCACCTTTTGGCTATTGTAAATAATGCTGCTGTGAACATTGGTGTACAATCTTTTTTAGGTTTAATTTTTAAGTTGGAATTTTAAATGGAATGATTAGCAGGAGTCAGACACCTGAGTCCTGTCAGCATCTGTCCCAGGCCTGCCGCTGGTCTGAGGGTGGAGGCAGGGACAGGGAGGGGCTCACCCACACAGCGCAGCACCACCAGGAACTCATCCTCAGGCAGCCCAAAGGCATTCTCAGGGCTCTCCAGCACACTCAGCAGGCTCCCACTGGAGCAGTACTCCATCACCAGTACCTTCTGCCGGCTTCCGCCCTATGGGTGGGACAGAGAGGGGCTCATGAGGACGGCACTTCTCCTCCCCACCCACCAGGAAGAAGTGGCTCAGCCTGGAGCCCAGAGCCCCCATTCTCCAGGTCCCAGCTTCTGGCCTGGCCTTCCCTCCTTGGCCTCACACTGATCCCGCACACTGGAATCCAAAGTCAGTTATTCCAGGAAGCCCTCTGCTTAGGTACTGATTCTGTCCATCGTTCCTTTCCAGTGCACCGCCCCCACCCCCTTGCCCCCTTTGCTCCCTTCTGCAATTTGCCTGCTGTCTCTGACCTGCTGATGAGCATGGGACCAAATCTCTGTTATCATGTGGCCTGATTCTCCCCAGACCATAAGGGTCAAGGACAAGACCATTCTCTGACCAAGCACCGGACCTACCGTCTCCTCCACCGCAAAGAGCTTGACAATGTTCTGGTGGTTCAGCTTCCGCAGGACCTCAAACTCCCTCACCTGCACCTCGCGGGGCCGCAGGTAGCTGGTAGTGTTGAAGACCTTCACAGCAACCAGCTCTCCGGATTTCTGCCATTGGGGAGGGAGCAGTGGGAGACAGCATGGGATTAGCACATGTCCCACTCCCACAGGGGAGCAGCCACCCTCTCCTGGGCCTCCATTCAGCCTCTCCGGCCAGCCCAACCCCAGAGATTAGCCTGGTTGGATGGGGGCTCCCATCCGCACCGCCTTTCCCTCTCAAGGGGTAGAGAGTCCAGCACTGGGAGGTGACAAGATCCTGACACTCTGATCTTCTGCAGGGGATGGCTTGTTGTCATTATTACAATTGCTATTGACAATCATCACAGGGCAGCTAACACTCCCTGGGGTTAGCAGCAGGGAAGGGATTGGAACCTGGTCTGTATGGCTCCAATTCTTTTTTTTTTTTTTTTTTTTTTTTGAGACGGAGCCTCGCTCTGTCACCCAGGCTGGAGTGCAGTGTCAAGATCTCAGCTCACTGCAACCTCTGCCTCCCAGGTTCAAGCGATTCTCTGCCTCAGCCTCCTGAGTAGCTGGGATTACAGGTGCACGCCACCATGCCCAGCTAATTTTTGTATTTTTAGTAGAGACAGGGTTTCACCATCTTGACCAGGATGGTCTCGATCTCCTGACCTCGTGATCTGCCCACCTCGGCCTCCCAAAGTGCTGGGATTACAGGCATAAGCCACCGTGCCCGGCCGGCTACCACTCTTGAATAAGACAGAGTGGATATCATCTCATACATTCTCGCAGGATAAATCCAAACAAGGCCTAATTCCCCACTCTGCTATTCCTAGATTCCATTTGCTGTTACCTTCCTCGGATGTTTGCCTTGTTACTTCACAGTTCTCTTGCTCCAACTCGTGCCCGACAGAGGCATCCTCTCAAGGAGCCGTTTTCAGCTCCCTATGCCTCTGCTCAAACCCACAGTATGAGTGTGCTACACAACATCCAGAGGTCCCTGTCCCACCACCCTCAATGCCCACTGGGGGCTGACTGGGCCAGCTTCTGAGGCATGAGGGGGCCAAGGCTGGGCTGGACAGGGCCTGGCCAGGGTTGCTTCCTACCTTGTTGCGGGCCTTGTACACACTGGCAGTGGCCCCCTGCCCCAGCAGGTCATCTGTGTGCCACAGGTAATTGGCTGTGCTCTGCATCTCCTGCCCTGAGCTGGCTGGTCACCTTCTGCCTAGAGAAAGAGCATGCTGGGGGCCCAGGATTCCATTCCTGGCACAGGGTGGCCGCTGGTGGCCTGACCTGTAACTGTGCCCCAAGGCTACCCTAAGAAGGGCTCCATGTGGCCATTCCACAAGCAAGGGAGCGGGGGAAGTGTGAAGCACAGAAAGGTTAAGTAACTTCCCCAAAAGGACGCACAGCACAACAAGAGGGCCCCCACTGAGCCCTCAGCCCACAGCCGGCACCTGTTCCACCTGCTGCCTGTCCTGGCTCCCCACGTTCCCTTGAAGCCCCTCCTGAGGCAGGTCATTCTGCAGAGACAAACCTCTTGTCTCTACCACCTCTCCCCAGCACTGAAGATTCTGGGGTTTTGGCATCCAGGCTTGAGATTGTCCCAGGAAACAGAAACAGTATAGGAGGAAGGGCCCAGGGTCAGGGAGCATCTCCCACACCACCACAAATCTCCAGGATTGCAACATGAGTCCAGAGCCACTCCCCCAGCCCCCGCTGGCCTGCCTGCCAGGCCCACCACTTCCTGCTGCTGTGAGCTGACAGCCGGGCCAGTACTGCTCCAAGAGAGATGGGGCTGCTTCAGAGTGTGTGTGTGTGTGTGTGTGTGTGAGAGTGTGTGTGTGTGTATGTGTGTAGGGCGTTGGGGAGAAGGGTGTGGGTGTGTGTGTGAGAGCAGGGTATAGGGGAGGCAAAATTCATCATTCAGCCATTGGGAGAATCTGAAACCCCCTACAACTCTGTTTCCCATCTTTGTCCTCATCTTTTCCCCAAAGCCTAGTTCTCCTAAAGCAATTAGTACCAGAAAGTGTATCCTCAGAAGTTAAACTCAATTTCTCTTTGAAAAATAAGGCCAGTGCTGGCCTTTTTGGGATACCTGGGGACAGAAGCATTAGAAGGGCCACCATCCTTTAAATACTTTCTTTTTCCTTTTTCTTTTTTTTATTTTGACGTAAGGTCTCACTCTGTCATCCAGGCTGGGGTGCAGTGGTACAATCATGACTCACTGCAACCTCCACCCCCTGGGCTCAAGCAATCCTCCCAACTCAGCCTCCTGAGGAGCTTAGGACCATAGGTGTGCACCACCACACCTGGCTGTCTTTTGTATTTTTAGTAGAGATGGGTTTTTGCCATGTTGCCCAGGCTGGTCTTGAACTCCTGAGCTCAGGCAATCCGGCCACATGGGCTTCCCCAAAAAATTGCTGGGATTACAGGTGTGAGCCACCATGCCTGGCCACTTAAATACTTTTAAATAACGCTAGACTAGAAAAGGCATCTTCGTGTTCTAACATCTTACAGGTTCTCAAACTGAGGGTTGCCATGCCTGGAATCCTATGTTCCTTCGCTCTGAACTTTTTCTCTGTGTAATCTTTTTTAAAAATGCAAATCCTTGATAATGTCATTTCATTGAGCCAGAGGCCCCTTGAAGAGATCGGTGGTCAACTCCTAGTTTCAGATCAGGTAGGAGCGGACATTACACAGAAGCAACTGAGGTACTGAGAGGCTTCCTGAAGACAACACAGTAGCTCAGCATGAATGAGTGGGTCTGGTTTTCCCCGCTGAGGCTGGAGGCAGCCAGCAGGTCTGGGGGCTGGGGCTGGGGTTGGAGCACAGCAGGCTGAAATCAAGGCCAAGGGCTCTGATACTGGGGCAAGGAACAGCTCAGGACTCTGGGATAATAGGCAGTGAGGTGCAAAGCGCAGACCCCCAGACAAGCGGTGTGCCCCTGGATTCTGTGCCCGGGAGCTCTGGTTGTGGCACATCTGGCTTAACTCTGCACGCTCTGCAGATCCTCCCCCCACCACCCCAAGCACCTGGTGCAAAGAAGGGCTCAGTGGCCCTCAGCCAGTGGTTGGATGAATGAGCAGTGGACAGTGAAGCATGTGAGACACCACCCACCCACCTCTCCCCTCCCCTCCCTCCTCAGGGCTCTGCTGTGGCCAAGTGCACTTACCCCACACTCTGAGCTGCCCTGAGTCAGGCAAAGGCTCTTCCTGGCGAGTGTATGTTATGCTTTCTGTCTGTGGCACGTCCAGGAGCTGAGCTACACCGGAAAGAGGAGGGCGGATGAGAGGCGCCCCTCAGTGCAGTTGCTTCTCAGCCTCCATCAAAGGCCGCCGGCCCTAGCCCTTTAACCCTTTCCTGTTTGTCACCTTCCCCCACAGGGCTGGGCTGGGGGTTTCCAGCTCTATTCCCAAACTGTTCAGGGAGCCTTTCCCAGCGTCTCCTACTCCTGAGACTCCGGCCAGGGAGAAAGACCCCGGGAAAGGTGAGGGCAGGCGCTGGGTGCTGATCGCTGGCTTTGGGTGTTGGTAAGCAGAGCCCAGGGAGGGCTTGTGGTTGGCCCGTGGTGGCTCACCTCCATGCCACACACAACGCTCTATGTGAGAGCACCGCTGCCAACAAGCCCACACCCCTGCACCCGGCTGAGCTGCCCTGCAGCTGCCCCTTGTCTGGCCCCTCATTCCACCCCCACCCCCCTCCGCACGCTGCACACTCACCCCATCTCCACTGCAGGGGATGCAGGCTTGTGGGACTGGGTGACACCCCCAGAGCTTTCAGGGCTCACTGTCATTCATGAGCAGTGTTCTTAGCCTCCTGGTAGCCAAGGGCCCCTAGGACCCACAGGCAGGGCCAGTTGCAATGTCTGTGCCACCCCAGGAGCTGGGACTAGTGGGTTTCTTCCCTGCCTCCTTGTGGCGGTGGGACACCAAGCTCAGCACTGAGTCCTGGCTCTCAGCTCTCTCGCACTTCCTGATTTCCGTCTCTCGCTCTCTCTTTCTCTCTTAAAGAGACAGAGGCAACTCGGTGCAGCCACCAGCTCAGCAGAAAAGAGAAAGAGGATGCTCTGAGTTCCCAAGGGTAGGCAATAGGACCAGAGTGTGAGCCACAGAGAAGCCAGGAACTGGGGCCCTTCTGGTAATCTTGATGGGCAGCTGGGTGCTGTTTTGGCATCTCCCACAGTTCACTGGAGCAGGGAAGTTCAGGGCTCTTCCCAGAGTCAACAGAGCAGGTTGGGCAAGTTAACTAAGTGGAAAGCTGCCTGGGAAGTCCATGCTCCCACACCCAGGAACCCCAAGGAAGTGTGGGAGCTATGCCGATCCAGTCCTAGAAGTTGGATCTGAGTCACCTTCCCAGGAGGCCTGCAGAGGTCCGAGAGCAAGCGCGGGGACCCAGCTGATGCCTTCCAGTGTGACCTGAGCACACAGCATGCAGCCCCTCCCAGCCAGCTCACTCACCCGCAGAGTAACAGCTACTCTGTGGGTTGATTGGATGACATGGATATATTTGGAATTGTTTGGGAGCTTGGAAAGCATTTTACAGAAAGGCATTGAAGGCATGGAGGCCCACACACTTCAGTAATTTACCCATGCTCTTCAGAGACTGCTGGGGCTGGCACCCAGGTGCCAACTTCCCAGCCAGGACTCGATGCCCCACATCAAATGTCCTAGGAGGCTGGAGGGGTCTGTCCTGCTCTGGTCAGCTCAGAGATGGCAGTTGGATATGAAATGGTTAAAACCAGGAAATTCCATGTTTCTATAGAATGTTGGAGGGACTTTCCCATGGCCACACCTGGTGGTTTCCTCCGCCAGCCCCACCCCTCCCACAGTGACACTAGAACAGGAGCAGAGCTGAGAACTGCCTAGTGCTCAGATAAAGAGAACTCCCCATAACACCTCCAGCTGGAGGAGTTGCTGCAACTTCTCACATCAGGACCAGGAGGAATGTGCCTGAGTGCCTGAGATCCTCATGTTCCACCCAGTCTTCCCAGCTTGCTTTTTTTTTTTGAGATGGAGTCTCACTCTGTCACCCAGGCTGGAGTGCAGTGGCATGATGTTAGCTCACTGCAACCTCCACCTCCTGGGTTCAAGTGATTCTTCTGCCTCAGCCTCCCAAGTATCTGGGACTACAGGCATGCACCACCATGCCCGGCTAACTTTTTGTATTTTTAGTAGAGATGGGGTTTCACTGTGTGGTTGGTGAGGTGGATTGAACAGGTTGGACTTGATCTCCCAACCTCCTGATCCACCTGCCTCAGCCTCCCAAAGTGCCGGGATTACAGGCGTGAGCCAGTGGCTAATTTTTTGTATTTTTAGTAGAGATGGGGTTTCACTGTGTGGTTGGTGAGGTGGATTGAGCAGGTTGGTCTAGATCTCCCAACCTCCTGATCCACCTGCCTCAGTCTCCCAAAGTGCCGGGATTACAGGCGTGAGCCACTGCACCCAGCCTAGTCTTCCCAGGTTTCTGCCTGCCTGGCACATGGGAGAACTGCACATCCTAGTTACTTTGTGATAGGGGGAGCATGTGAGTTCCCCACCAAAGCATTTATTTCCTGATGCAAGACCCTCCCAGAACTCTGCTTTCTGGCAGTGTGATTCTGTTAGTCTGGGTCCTTGAGTGACTGTCCTGAGCAGAGTTCCCCTGCTGGTCCACAAGGGACATTGGCTTTGGTGAGAAATCAGCCTTTGTTGCTTTAGGGCACCGAGGTTTGCTACATAACTTAGACAATCCGTAATGTTTACCCACTTTTTTCCCTGATGAACCTGCTGGGTCCTCACCAGCACTCTTACTTTCCTCTCTCCGTCAATCTCTTTCCCAGCATATTTAGCACATTCAAAGGAAACTACCATGTGTCTAGCACCTGCTATGAGGCAGGCACTGTGTGCTCAGGATGTAAAGGTGGGCATCCCATCAGGAGCCTGGAGGTCCAGGATGGCATGGCAGATGCTATGAGTGGCAGACGCGCAGCGGGGAGGAAGGTGATCAAGAAGGGCTTTCCAGAAGGGTTGCTTGGCCAGACTTTAGGAAAAGGGGAGTTGGGCAGAGGAGAGGGGGCTGGGGGAATGGAATTCCAGGCTGTGGGCACATGTGCAGAGGCACAGAAGCATGAGAAGAGCCGGACTGAGGCTGTGAAAAGGGAGAGAGGTAGAGGTGGCCTGGAGCCATGTGCCGTGACAGATCAAGTTTCCTTGCGCATCCTCTGTGAGGTCACATCCTCTGTGTGGACACAGTGAAGCAATGTCTTGCCTGTGCCCCAGCCGGGCAGCACAGCCGGTTGCATCCGAGAAGGTGCAGGGGGCTGGCGGGCTCCAGAAGGGAAGAGGAAGTCTGTAAGAGTCCCCACCACGTGTTCCCAAGTGGCTCTGAGGAGTCCTAGAAATAGAAGTGGCAATCCAAGGGTAGTGCAAGGACCAGAGGTGGAAGAGGGCGGCCCTTGACAGCAGCTGTCAGAAAGAAAATCTCATGTGACTTCTACAAAGAGGCTGAAAGTATAGTAAGAAGGGCAGGGGCTAGCTCCATTGCCATGGAGGTTTGAGTTCAGATTTTACCACCTACTGTGGATGACCCTAGCACGTCACTCGACGTTTCTCATAGGGCTGGTTTGAAAGTAAAATGAGATGAAGCTCCTGGCACCTGGTCTGCTCTGAAAAGATATTAATTTCTTTTTCCACCTCTAAGGGGCCTGAGCCAGTTTTTCACAACTGACTCGCCGGCCCAGTGCCTTAAAGGGGAGGGGAAAGGACTCGGGTGCTGGTTGGGGTGCATATGGAAGAGGCTGGGGGGCATTGCCAGGCCATACGTTTTTGCTGTGCTCAGTCACAAGGGCAAAGGGCTGAGGGACGAGGTCTCAGAGCCCAGCTCTTTGTCACCTTCAGGGGTCAGCTCTGGCTAGGAGCTTTGGGTGCAGAAGGAGGGACAAACACTGCAGCCAATCTTGCTGCTATGGCCCCAAGCAGTGGGACAAGCTGTGAGGCAGCATCCAGGCCACTGAAGGAAATCGGCGCCGGTGCCAGCGTCGTCTCTCTTCGAGGAAAAGCAAGTGTTTCTCTCATTGTCTTCACTCTTCAAACCTCCTCTGCACTGTTCCCTCCTACACTGTCAGCTAAGGACCTTGCCTTAAACTTCGCTTAGATAAAAGAAGCAATCAGAAGGGAACCCCCTCATTTCCTCCCCCACATCCACTGCCTGCCCTGTGTCTGTACTCACCTGCCTTCCCTCCCACGCGACAGCAGGAAGTGCCTCTTCTTGAGCCTCTTCTAGTGGCCATGGCCAACCCTCCCGCTTGTACCCTGCAGCTCACCCTCTCCTCTCCTGCACATTCTTCCCGTTCTACTGCATCCTGCCCACCCCACCAACAAATGCACCTCTGCACTGCCCATCTTACCCTTGTCTCTCGATGCTCCCCATTCAACGAGTTGTCAAGTTACTGCCTCTTCCCTTCCCATTTGCCACCTAACCCACTCCAGTTGGACTCATTCCCCCTCTGCTGAAAATGCTCTTGTCCAATGATTCCCTTTCTATGCCACCCTCACCTTACCCCATTGGCATTCAACAGCAGATTCCCTGCTTTGTTGAAGCATTGTCCTCTCCTGCTGTCTGTGACCCTGTGCTTTCCCAGCCATCTACCTCATTGCCACTTGCTCATTCTGCCTTCTTTGCTGGCCCCCTTCCTCTGATGCATTTCTTTTTTTTTTTCTTTTCTTTCTTTTTTTTGAGACAGTTTCACTCTTGTTGCCCAGGCTGGGGGGCAATGGCGTGATCTTGGCTCACTGCAACCTCCACCTCCCGAGTTCAAGCGATTCTCCTGCCTCAACCTCCTGAGTAGCTGGGATTACATGCATGTGCCACCACGCCCAGATACTTTTTTTTTTTTTTGTATTTTTAGTAGAGGCGGGGTTTCTCCATGTTGGTCAGGCTGGTACCGAATTCTCGACCTCAGGTGATCCACCGCCTTGGACTCCCAAAGTGCTGGATTATAGGTGTGAGCCACTGCGCCCTCCCCCTCTGCTGCATTTCTAATGATCGGGACCTTCTCTTTTTTCCATCTCCACGCTCTTCCTGGGAATCTCTGTTTGAATACATCTATAATGTAATAGCTCCTAATACGTTTTCAGGTATTATCTACCCCCAGAACTCCAAATTCATACATCCAAGGGTCTACCTGATATTTCCACTTAGATGTCTACCAGTCATATCAGCCTTGCCAGATCAAGCAGAATACTTCATTTCCTGAACAACTCCTATCTTATTAGTTTCATTTTCAGGGTAATACTCATTTTGCTTCTTTATCTGTCCTTCCTCATTAGAAAGCTCCATTAGCTCTTTTTTTTTTTCTGTTCAGTACCATATGACAGTGCTTGTACAGAGAGAAGCTTAATGTTGATTGACTAAATGACTGTCTTTAGTATATATAATATGCCAAGGTTGCTAACTCCTGAGTAAAAGGAAACGTCATATACCTATGAATATAAATCAGGGGATTCCAATCTTTTGGCTTCTCTGGGCCACATTGGAAGAATTGTCTTGGGCCACACATAAAATACACTAACACTAATGATAGCTGATGAACTAAAAAAAAATTGCAAAAAAACTCAATATTTTAAGAAAGTTTATGAATTTGTGTTGGGCCACATTCAAAGCCATCCTGGGCTGTGGGTTGGACAAGTTTGATATAAACATTTAGGTTAGATAGTCTTAAAAGACTGTTTCCTAAATTCACATACATCTGGTCTCCATTTTTGGTTTCTATCTGGAAGGAATGGACTTGTGTTTTGACAGTGTTCATTGCCACTAGTTTCCATCCAGCCCCCATCAGGACATATGAGATAAAAAGAACCATATATGGATAAAGAGGACCTAAAAAGCATAGCCTGCCTTTGCCTCAGGACCCTCTGAAAAGGGGCTCTTTGGTCCCCTGCTCACAGCCTACAAACTGGCTCCATGTCGCAGCTATTATGGGGTGCTCCTGGCCATCCCCATTCTCCCTGCAGTCAGGGAGAACTCATTCCTACCACAGAGTGGCACAGCAGCCTTGGCCTTGACTTACCCAAGGCCAAGGGCCCAGCAAGAGAAGCTCAAGATGTAGCTGTTCCATGAAAACAGGGGAAGGGAAGAGACAGTAGGCTGGAAGGGCATAGCAGAGCTGAATAGAAGATATATGAATAACGGATAGGGATGATAAACCTAAGAAGGGGTTGTAAAGTGTTCTGTCTAGAGCTGGGGGTAGGATTCCTTGCATTACCACTGAACATAGGGTACCCACTTGGAGAGATGTGATCCATCCCCAGGGGCATCTTTTATTAGAACAAGCCTGTTAAAAATAAGTGTTGGCCCTAGGGGCTCTAGGATTTGTTTGAAGTTGTTACCTTGAAATAACTTCACCCTTGAACTTAAGCTCTGCTAGACTCACAATCTGTAGGAGAGAAAACATCACCTGTATCCCCCACTCCCACCAACAGCACAAGCATATTGGTCAGCTTTTCTCCCAGAGGCAGAGGGCTGTCAAGGGCAGAATGACTCAGGGCTTTGGTTGTGGAAGAAAGAGAATCTCTAGTCACCCTTGGTTGTAGCTTGCCAAGTTTCTAAGCAACTTCTTAGGCCCCACTCCCTGAAGTGAGGAAATCTGACTAGAGATAGAAATGAGAACAGTCCTTATTGAAAACAAGGAAGGTGGATTCTGTGAAGGAAACGGTTCTCATGGCAACAGGCAGTCCAATGGTGAGCGGGAAGACTCTCTACAAAACCTATGAGAATCCACACACAGGCTAAATGGAAATGCTGGGGGAAAAACCTCCCATTCTAAATGCAAGTGTGCTGTGCCTTGGTGGGGAGGGAGAAGGTGGCTGGCTGTAAGGTCATCTCGTTGCTCTCTCTGTTGCCAGGCAGGGCTCTGTTAGCACAGACGAATCAAAATCCCTCCTGGGCAGCTGGAGTCCTGAATCAGAGATTTCAGAGAGGAGAGAAGGGATATGAACTGCAGCATCGAAACCTAAAAATGTATTTTATTTTGAAGTTGTGCTTTGGATTTTCCCCAATCCAACATCTGTTGAGTGACAGTCTTAGGTTCACACAAAGCATCTCCAAGCATACATACAATATTCCAGTTATCAACACTATTTTAAAGAATATACCATTTTACACAAATGTGACATACAAGTCAGACGCCACAACATTGCGATTCCCTGGAAGATGTGACTTCTCTTCTGCATGGGAAGTAGATCTGCACCAGCCCTTCCAGTGCTCTGCGCATCCCGGTGCTGGCATCACCGCTCCTCATCTCCTTGGGGAGAAGCCAGGGCGCCCTGAGGAGGTTGGCTGAGACCAGTGTTTCCAGTTTACAGGCTGCTGGCTACAAACTCCTCTATTTTCTAAATTGGGATGCTAGTAGCCCCACCCCACCTCTCTTCCCCGAAGACTGACCCTTCAGAGTCCACACCAGGAAAAGGATCCATGCCATGAGGGGTGGAGCAGGGCTCTTTGAAGCATCATGCTGGTTTCGGCAAGCATAGCTGAGGAAGGCTGGTCTCCCTAGGCCCTGGATGGCCAGCTCCTTTTGGCTTTTCGGTGTAAAAATCACAGTGTGCAACCTCAATTCCAGTTGTTTGCAGTGAGCTCTGCCGAGAAGGACTCTCCTCCTATCGGTTCCTAGTCCTCTCGACAGGACCATCTCACAGGTGTTAGGAGCACCAGAGATGGGGAAGACAGCTCTGCCCCCAGAGCTGGGTTTAGTAGGTGACCACTCACACACTGTTCAGTTCATGATGCAAATTAGCGCGGATGGACACTGATCAAGGGGATGGTGAACACGAGTCATGTACAGGGTTGAAAGAGAAATAAGGCAGGAGCAACAGAACAGGCCCAAAGTGTTGCCATTAAGAAAGCTTTGCTTTTACTTTCTTAGAGGGGAGTGTGCTGGAGAGAGGGAGAAAGGGCAAGTGTGGGTACCAGTTTTGATCAGTTGGATTGAAAGGAATGTAAAGTGAAAGATAGGGTTTCATTTTCAGCAAGGAAACAGATCCTTGGGTATGAAAGCCCCGTTGGCTTGGGACCTGTGTAGGCCCAGGTGACAGGCAAGAACAGGTCAGGAAACAGCAACAAAAATCAAGACTGTGGGTTGCCTCTTCTAGGCTGACTCACTTCACTGAAAGAGTTCTTCAGTTCTCCTGCCTAGCACTTGGAAAGGTTTCTCTGGTGCTGCAGGTTAGCCTTCTCATTAGTGATTTCCCACAAAGCACCTCTTTTCCTTTGCACAGGATTAAAAAAAAAAAAATCCTACCACTTTCCATAGACCTAACTACCAATTTCGCAGGTTGGTCCAAAAAGAATCTCTTCTAGGTCAAAGATAAGAAAACTCAGATTTTCCTACCAGAATGGCAACCCACCATCTCTCCGGAACTACAGAAAATAATAAGGCTAAAATATAAGTGCAGCTTTTAAACCAGAAAACACAGAGAAGAAGGATGAGTTTCAGCTTTAACTCAAGTTGCTGTCTGAGACCCATGAGCCTGGCTGTGGATGTGTCTGGTCCTGATACTCCTGGGATAGCATGATGCTAGGGGGGCCAGGAGCACAGGCACCAGGTTTGGAGACTGAATTGGAGCAGACAAGGGTATGATTTGTGCATTTTGGAAGGGAACCAGAAAAAAGGCCAGAGTAGAGCCAGAATATTCAGCATTCAAATTTTAATTTTCTTTCGATTCTGGCCTTGGGAAGACTTGAGAGCCTGTGGGGTCAGGGTTCCCTTAATTGTCCTTGTTTGCATAAATGAAAACTGGTTTTAAGAGGTAGGGTCTCCCTTTAATCTAACTAAGGCTCTCTAAGCCCCTGTTGGTCCCTGAAGAGAGACCTTGTAAAATAAGGAAACTAAGGGGTGGACTTAAAACAAGTTTTCATTTGGGAACAATTTCTGGATTAGCAAAGCTGAATTTAATTTTTTAATAGGATAATGAATTTTATGTTTTAAGTGCCAAAAACATTAGGAGGAAAAAGGACCCATTTCTTACCTTTCCCAAACCTGCCATAGACACAATAAAACTCTCTTAAGACTCTTTACCCTAAAAGGAACCAGCTATAAAACTGTCTTATACAGGAAAATGTCTTAAATGGAAAATGGTCCATCAGAGACAAAGGTAGGAACCCGAGAAATGTCTATACATTCAGAAAAACTTTAAAAGCTCCTTAATAAGACGGGGGTGTACTTCTAGGGGATGGAGGAGAGGCAAGAGCAAACACCAATGACCAATTCACATCAATGGAAAGAACACAGAGAGAAAGCCCCCAACCCCAAACAGGTTACGGGATTGTCCCATCCCGTTATGTTTCATATGATGGAGAGATTTCAAAGGCTAGGTTCTCTGGCCCAGACAGAACAAAGTTTGTGATGGAAACAGAGACCCCTGGTGGCTACTGTGTGAACTGCCACAATAACTTACAAAGAGACTGGTCTATGACCAGGAGAGGCTACACATGCCAGAGACTAGAAAAACATATGTGTGTGTGTGTGTGTGTGTGTGTGTGTAAAATGTGTGTGTGTGTAAAATATGTGTGTGTATGTAAAATGAAGACTGGACTATATATGATTCTCTATAATCAGTTCCCAAAACAAGATGCCACTGAAAGCTGGATGGCAGTAGCCAACCATCTGGTCAAGGCATCACCGTGGTCTGAGGGGACTGAGACTTGAGCCCATGTCCTCAGGACTGCCTTACCAGATTTCACAGTGACCTGATAATGAAAACCTGTCTCTGGCTAACCTAAGAACGGTACGGACTGCAGCTGGCTGAATTACGACGACTGGGGGAAGCAGAGGGCAGTGGGAAGGGAGAGGCGATACCAAGGGCTTCATTCTCAAGGTTTTGGGAGACGGGGAGGCTAATTCCTGCAAGAACAACTTAGAACCTAATTTTCAACTGAAGTCCCCAAGCTAGTTAAATAGGAAGATTTTAATAACAGTCAGTCCCTATAGTCCCCTTGTCTAGAACAATTAAATTATTATCCCTCAGACAGTACAAGACTTGTCAGTAGACTGTGGGGAAGTTGATGAGTTGACACCAGGGCTAGTGGCATTTGTTTTGGGGAAGACAGTGGGCTTGGGCCGTGTGGCTGGTGGTTTGACCGGGGCAGCCATCTTGACAGACTTGACAGGCCGGAAGGCGCAGGCGATGTCCCCAGCAGTACTGGCGCTGCGCTGGAAGGCGGGCTCGGGGTCCTTGAGGAGCTGGGTGTGCAGAGGGCTGGAGGGCTCTGACGTGGGGGCCACCACTGGGGAGGTTTTGAGGGGCTCCAAGGTGTCCAGAACCACGTCAGGGGTGTGTTTGACACTGCTCTGCCGTTCTAGTTCCCGTAGCTCATTCAGGGCCGAGTTCATTGTTGCCTCAATATCCTGCAAAACAGGAAAAAGGAGGAGGTGAGGCAAATGAGGGGAGAATTCCCCAAGGAGCCGGTTTCAACAACACAGGCCAAGGCATGAAGAAAATGACCGTAAGATGTCCAGATTATTGTACTTGGCCTAAATCTTTGAACATATGAATGCTCAGGAAGTAGGGAAAGGGGGACGGAGGGATTTTCACTGTCATGAGATTTTTTTTTTTCCTTTAGAAAAAGTAATTGATATTTTTTTAGAGACCCTAGGTTTTAGAGATAGATATTGAAATACTTATCGACGAAGTGACATATAATCTAGTGGGGAAGAGAAACACGGACAAAGTAAGAATGGCCAGGAGTTTGGTGATGAGTACATGGGGATTTGTTATCCAGTTCTGTCTGCTTTTGGGTAGGTTTGAAATTGTACATAATAAACACTTTTTTAAAAAGTGGTAGAGATGATGTATGATCTTTATTCTCTTGGACTTCAAGGCCAAAGGTGAAGAGGGTTAGTCCTTCCTCCTCAGGGGCTGAGGAAAGTTTCAGGAGCCCAATACGCCTCCCCCCGCCCCTCCTCCCCAACTCAGGGCAGTGTCCAATTTGAAACCATTTCCTTCCAGCCATCACCACCAAGGGGACAAAAGAATGACCAGGAAGGGGAGCCAAAGCCCACATAGGTGAATCAATTGCCTGCAAATCAATGGAACACTCTAGATCTTTAGCCAACAGCAGTCCTAGCCCAGGGACTCAAGGCAGAACCAAAGAACCTTTGTATGCAAGCCAGCTGCCTTCCAGTGAGACTTCCCAGCTCCCCGCTCCCTCCCCATAAACCTGTGTCTGGCACCCCCAAACTACCACAGGATTTCTTCTTGGGATTAGGTTCACATGGAAAGATTTTACACATTCCAAGCGAAGGCCTTTGGTTAAGGTTTCTTTGTCGTACAGACCGATGCATGCTTTCTGTTCACAGTGATTCAGTTTCACTCATCCCTATGACATTCTCAAACCTTTAAAATGCTCAGGAAGAACTCCATCTCCCTCCTCAGTCGCACTCTACAGCTAGTCTGTCCCAGCTGTCTACCTTTCCTGACATTCCTATTAACACCTGGCCAAGGAGGGAGCTGGGAGGATTCCCGTAGCGCAAGGCAGATTGCAGCCAAGAGCTTAAATAGAGGCACAGAATAGAAGGCTAGCAAAGCAAGACATCTCAGGCCTGTAGCTCAATACTGGGCTTGCCAGGTACATCTCCGTAAGCAGAGAACCACAATTAAGCCAAGAGAGACCATGCCCAGCCTCTATCACCCCCTGGAAGATGGGGTAAGGAGAATCTCAACTCAGTTGAGATAAGAAGGCAACAATAAGCCCTTAGTTCCTACCTGGTCTAATGAAAATTATATAGTTGGGAGAGACGTCTGAGTGAACTGCTTGGAGTGGCCCCGGTAGTCGGATTTTTAGAGGTGGGGTTGGATCTCTAATATTTCATGGAAAACAGAGAGTCATCAGTGCGGTGCATACACAGAAGGAAGACCCTGCAACCAGGGAGCTCATCTCCATAGCCTCTGGAGGCTTGGGCTGCAAATCCTTTTGGTTACCAGAGCTCTCTGCAGCCAGAGTATTTTTTAGGTCTTTAAAACCAGGTGCAGGTTCTTAATTGATCATCTACCCATTCGGTACCAGAGACTAGCCTTAGGAATCGGGATGATGGTGATGGGCACAGCAATATAAACATGTGGCCAGGATTACACCTGATCCTCAACAGTCGGGCAGTTTCACTAAAGTCTACCAAGGTCTTTAGACTCAAAACTTGGGCTTTCAAAATACTCTTAATACCGGCTTTAAAAATTACAACAGCCTTCCTAATAGCCAGTGTATGAGCAAGAAGCTAGGCTTCTTTTATTCTGTCTTTAGGTTCTTCCTGGGGAGAGAGGGACAGGCAGACCACTTATTAAGCTGTCTTATTGGGTCCACATGTCCAGAGTGGACATATACTCAGTATATCACATACAAAATAATCATTCTGTTTCAAGTCCTGTCATAATTAGGTGGGTGGCACTAAGTGGTAGTGATGAATGTAGACTCATGCTGTCTGTCCAGGAGCCCACAGTTACCTGAGCAATGACCTCAGGGTCCATGGGCCGATGGTTATTGAAGCTTTTTGACCTTCCCGCTGTGGCAGTCTTCCGGATCTGTGGACTATCCAGCCGATTCTTCAGGGATGAGTGGCGGCTGATGGAGTTGAGGCTCCCGTGCCCACTGATGGAACACTTATCTGGCCCTTCTTTGGGGAGGCTCTGGCTCATGATGGGCTGGGAGGATGGGCGGCAGCTAGCCCCCACCCCTGGGGAGGAGGAGTCAGTCAGGGAACTGCTCAGCCCATGGCTGTCACTCCGAAAAGTTTTCCGGATGCTCCCAGATTCTGGACGCTTCCTTTGCCTTCAATCACAAACAGAAAGGGCAGTGTGATCAGGGAGCCCTGGCTCCAAGGAAGCTAGGATAAGTGGGAGGGGGCAGATGTTGGCACCCAGGGACTTCGGAAGGAGAGGGACACAGAACTCGTTCTCTCCTCGGCTTCATCTTCTCTTGCATTCTCCATGTCTTCATTCCCTTGCCACCCCCAAGCTGGGTGAAGGAGAAATGGATACTTACTTGGTGGTCACGGGCTTTGTGTTGTCAAGATGTAAGTTGCTGTCAGAAAAAATGTCTGATTAAGCGAAGGTTTCTAATGGGAAAGAGATTCATGGAAAGGCCCCTTCTGTGACCTGCCATGAACAGAAACCTAAGGCCCCAGCTAGGAGAAGAAGTCTCACCATCACCAAAGAGGTCAAGATTGCTGGTAAGAGGATAGTTAACTTTTCTAAATTTTAGCATGACTCTTTTTCCAAAAAGACTGTAACTGTTTTGGGCTCTGGCAAGAGGCTGTTGTTGCTTATTCTGTAGGCATGGAGCAGAATAGTTTTCAAGAGGCAGCAACACTGCAGAGTTGGGGCCCAGTTTGTGCGTTTTCTTAGTGTGGAAATACCTCTACATGACTCCCAAGTCACCCAGCACTGGGCTGAACCCTGGATCTGGGCGAATTTGTTTCAGACCACTTAGGGCTCTCAGACAAAATGGCTTGGCAGAATCCCAGTTACATGGGTGTTGCCTGCTGCTGGATAATTTCATTTTGTCTTGGAATCAGATCTGAAAAGGTCTAATCTAAGAGGCAATGAAACTTCTGATTTGGATGGCTGCTGAACAGCTCTGATCTTGAATCTAAGAGAGATGGGGGCTGAGGCAGGAGTTGAGGTGGAAGGAGGGAAGGGGTTAGACTCTGAAGATAAGGAGCTGGTCTGTGAGGTGGGGACAGTGCTCTAAGCCAGTCCTAGTCCTGTTCACTGCTGAGGTCTTCCTCATCTTTCTGCCTGCAGGGCCTGGCCCAGGACCTGGCATGTATCAGTCACTCCGTGAGTCTGTCCACTCGGCAGTTTTAGGCTTGTGACTCAGCCGCTCTCGAGTGGAAAAAGGATGTTCTCAGAGTCTTCTAAGGCCCTGCTGAAATGAACCCCCTCTCTGCAAGGATTTCCCTGGCACCACTAACTCCAACTGCACTGGCACCACTGCACCACTAACTCCAGTTGCAGGAAGAATGGACCCCTCCCTCCTCTGTACCTTCAGAGCATCTGATGCTACCTGTCAGTTACCTGTCCATAGGGTCTTTACCTTGCCAGACTGTGAGCTCTGAGATCAGGGACCTCGTCTTTTTTATCTCTGAATAAACACCAGCAGTGCTTGGCACAACAGTAGATACTTAATAAATGTGTAGAATTAAATGGAAGTGCCACACCCTAATAGCTCTTTGCTGATTTCCTTTTTCTGCTTGAGGATAGCTGACTCATGGGCTGAAACTGCTGAGAAGACAGATTTATGGGGTGGCTGTGGTGTGCCATGTCCCAGGCTAGGCCCTGGGGATGTAAAGAAAAGGAAGATATAGTTCCTGGGTTCAAGGAGCTCAATCTGGTGGGGGATCTGAGTGAAGCGTGAGTACCAAAAGGTATTCAAAGTGTCTTTGGAATGCAGCATAAGGGCACCTCACTCAGCCTGGGGAAGTCAGGGATGTCAGAATGGCTTCCCCAAAGAGCTAAGTCTTCGGACTGAGTCTTGAAGGGAGATGAGGAGGTGACCAGGTGAGGAGACAGCAGGCGTGAGCGCCCAGGGGCGAAAGAGAACCTGGGCACTCGGGAAACTCAAGGAATTTGGGAGGAGGAGTGGCGTGGGGGGCAGGAGGTAAGACTCAAAGGCCGACTCACTTCTAAGGGCCAGACATGCCCCGGGGCCACCGCTCACCCACCCACCAGGTGATGAGGCTTGTCCTCCAAGAACCCCATCCCAAGACTCCTGACACCAGCAAACAAGGAGTTCAAGGGAACCACCTTAACTGTCTACAGATACTCTTTTTTTTTCTTCTTCTGTTTACCATTTCAGTTATTACTCTCTACAATTTCTATGCACAAATGGCATCAAATATATGATGGCTTAAAAATATGTACTTAACTAATTATCTAACTCTTCCTCCACCAACCCCGCCTTGGTTTCTGAGTTAATTATAGGATCACGACCTTTTGATTGTAGGGTTACAATTTAACACAGAATTGTAAATAAGGAAAAAAATGTGATTAGCCCACAGTTACTTGATATTGGCTTGCCCTCCCAGCAGGGCAGTGTGCTGGAGGGAAACAGAAACTTCTCAATTTTTTTTTAACTGGTCTGAATTAAATTATAACTACACTGAGTAAGTGATCTGAATAAACGACTTTACTAACTTGAGGGTGAAAGAGATGGAAAAGAGCCACGTGCCCCAACCACTCCCCCTGCTACCGTCTGGGTGGAAAAAAGCCAAGAGATCTGGGAAACCTGGTATAGTTTAAAAACAACAAGCATCCTTTATTCTCCTTCCAGTCTCAGTGTCCAGAGGCTACGGTTAACAGGTTTTCAAAGTGCAAATCATTTCATTCCTCAAAAGCCAGAGGGGAATAAAAACTGTACATCATCTCCAATCCATATTCATCAGGAGCGCCCTGGGGCTTGTCATCCTGCTGGCACGGGGCCAGGTTTCAGGGCCTGGCGGAAAGAGGTCTGTAGGCTTTGGGACTTGGTGTCTGGCCCCTTGAGATGAGATTAGTTCTCCAATAACCTGAATGCCTCTTGGGGAGGCGGCAGCACGCAGGCGTAGAATCCCTCTAGACAGCCAGATCGGGCGTGGGTGGAGTTTAAACCCCAGGATGTTGCTAACAGCCACAATGAAAGCTGGGGGTCAGAGGTAAGAGCCTGCTGAGCAGGAGTGGGGATCTGCAAAGGGACTAAGGGGGTAGAATAATACAAAAGGCCAAAGCAATAGGAACAAAATGGAAAATTATTTCTCCTGGTGTGAAAGGGCAGAAGAAAAGGGAGCTAGGGGTTAGCCAATGAATGAAGAGCTCAGGACAAAGCTTTCCTTAGGGACATCGTGGCCTCCTTTCCTCCACAGGAGTGAATGCAGGACAGGGGGAGGAACAGACACATGATATCTCAATAAACCCACCTGGTGTAACATCAGCCTAGTAGAAGCCACACACAGACTCTGAATCTTTGCACGAACACGGGTCAAGGAAGACAGACATCAAAGACTATTATTTGAGTATGGATTGGAAAAAAGAAGGCACCTCTGAGAAACAGTACAAAACCAGGTTGCATAAAGTGACCAAAGCTTTGGTCAAAGTTTTAGCTGTAAGACTGCCACAAAGGTCTGGGTGGACAGACACTGCGGGAACACACAGTAAAGCACCCTTCCACAGCACGAGGGCAGCTAGCTGGAGACCTGGACCTGCCCCGAGGCTTGTAGCAGCATCCTCAGCCCTGTCCGCCTTGCAGCAGCAATGACCACATGCAAACTGTTAGGCTGGGGGAGCTGGGAGCCCTACGTGCAGCACAGGAATGGAGATGGGGGTTAGGCCAGAGGGTGAGGCTGGGTGTTGCAAGTCATTCAGGGGAGCAGAAAATGAAAAGCAGAGCTTACTTGTTGATGTTTGCAAGATAAATATCGGCTACATGACCCCCACTGGGACAGCTGGCCCCCGCTCTGGCTGTCACCTTTTCTTCAGGTGGCTCAGAAATGACCTCAATCTCAGACTTGGGGCTGGACCTCTCCACGACACCGTCCTCGCTGGGGGAGAAGGGGCAGGCAGGCAGGGAGGAGGGAAAACAACAACAACACAAAAAGCAGCGTTAAATCGGCAAGATGGCCCCCCGACATACACGCGACCCCACACAGCTCTGAGGCAGCAGCGACACCTGGCTGGACTAGTTCTGTGAGCAGAGGCAAGGAAACCTAAGGGCCTTTGAAGGGTCGTTTAAATAAAAATAAATAATCCGCTGAGTTCTGCGGGCTCCTCAGCTCCTCAGGAAAGCGTGGCTAGGGGACACCTGGATTCGAGGCATCTGCCTTCTACCCCATGCTGCTTCCTGGGGAGGCCGTGCTGGGGCGGCCTCCTGGAGAAGGAGGCGGCAAGTCCAGGTTGTGGTTTATCGGCTGAGGTCCTGAGCACTGCCGGGTAAGGACAGTCAACTGTGTGGTGGCTCTGGAGACGGCGGCGTCGTGGCAGGACACCGCCACACACTGTCGTAGCGCCTCTAGCCCCGCTCAGAGCATCCAAGCCGGTCCCAGGTCTCTCCACTGCTCTCCTGGCCCCTCTGGCTACTGATGACAAAGAAAGCCCCTTCTCCCCCACAATTCATCTTCTCTTGATCCTGTGGTGAAGTCATAATGCTAAATTTGGGAGGGTCCTGTCCACGCACAGATTGCCACCAGGTTTGCGATGCTATCAACAGAGGGAGGATTTCCCTGCAGAACGAGCCGGGAAGAGGCTGGGAGGGTGCAGACTCACTCAGGATATCAACCTTTAAAAAATAATATTAAGGGAAGGACTAAAAACACTGACAGCATCGTATCCAAGGGAGGGGAGCTGGGGACAGAGACAGGGCAAACGGACAGGGGGCAGGCTTGGGTGGGCCCACGGGACAACTGCTTCAAAGTGTGAGAATCAACCAACAGCCTATCAGATGAGATCTCTCTGGGACCAGTTCAGGTTTCCTTTGTTCCTTGACATCCTTTTCCCTCCTTCCCCCATCTTACCCTATATCAACCTCATCTCGGTTAAATGAACTAGGTCACTTCCATAAGGCTGCTTAAGCCGGATTTCTCCTAGAAAACCAGTCATTTTAATTTGCAAGTGGAAGAGTGGCTCAACAGGTTGGGGTGAGCATAGTTGTTTAAAAAAAAAAGAGAGTAACAAAAATGTTTTCCCAGCCTGATCTTTCGAGAAAAGAAATATAGGTGGTCAAATAAAAACCCCTTGTTATCACTCATCAGGTATAAATATGGATGAGTGCTGGCTGGCTGGCAGGTTTCTAAAATGACTGGATTAGGGGGTGATTTGCAGGGGGCACAGATAGTGGAGAGATTTAAAAAAATTCTCCACTGAGTGCAGGGAGTGGGGCGGGGGGTGGGGGGGGTGCTCTTCAAGGAACTGTGTGAGCCTCAGGACTGCACTGGACCCCCCAGGGGTTGGCCTCCCTCATAGTCCTATGGCTCCAGAAATGAAGTCTCACTCCCATAGAGCAGCTGGGGACCACCCCCAAAGATGCCATGGGCCCAACGTACGTGTCTTGGACCACGATGTACTGATGGGGGATGAGTCCGTCGATGCCATTGTGCCGGCCTTCCCACCAGTCGTCGGAAGCCCGCTGGTAAAGCAGCAGGGATGCTCCCTTCTTAAAGGATAGCTCTCGGGCTGTCCGGCCCACGTAGTCAAACTTGGCAATGGCCTCGATGGGCTCACATTCTGAGAAGGGTGGAAAAGAAGTAAACACATGTTCTTGGGACCTGCAGACTCAGGAAACTGGGTGGAAAAGCTGAATTAGCTGAACTTACAGTGGTAGGAAATTACTTAGTGGGAAAACGAAGCCATGGATGATCTATAAAGCAAGTAATTCTCACGCAGACTATACCATTATCCTGAAAGCACTGGTATCACCTTTTACCTGCCTTTGCTCACACTGTTCCCTCCACCAGGAATCTTCTTCTCTCTTATCTGCCTGATGAAGCACATCAAAACACAACTCAAGCATCCCATTTTTTTTTTTTTTTTTTTTTTTTGGGATGGAGTCTTACTCTGTCGCTCAGGCTGGAGTGCAGTGGCTCGATCTTGGCTCACTGCAACCTCTGCCTCCCGGGTTTACGCGATTCTCCTGCCTCAGCCTCCCAAGTAGCTGGGACTACAGACGTGTGCCACCACGCCCAGCTAATTTTTTGTATTATTAATAGACGGGGTTTCACCATGTTAGCCAGGATGGTCTTGATCTCCTGACCTCGTGATCTGCCTGCCTCGGCCTCCCAAAGTGCTGGGATTACAGGCGTGAGCCACGCGCCCGACCGCATCCCCTGCTTTCTACAGTAACTTCTTTGGTGTTTCCAAAGATCTTCATGCCTTGACGTCTATCATCAAACTTGCCATACTATATTTTTAAGCATTATTTCTTTTCTAATTATATAATAATTCCAGTAATTGTAGAAAATGTATCATACATTTTTTAGAATACATACATGTATTCTAAATATTTTATGTTATCCATTCCCCCTAGTAAGTAGAATGTGAGCTTTCTGTCTCTCTATAAAGAGAAAATAACTTGCTCAATCAACTTTCCAAGGAGCAAAATATGAAAATATATTTTGTGACCAACCTATGAAAAAAATGCACATGAAAGTAATCTAAAAAAGTAAAAGGGGTCTACGAATGCAATCTATCTTTATTTTTGTGTGGGCTTCTGTCTCCTCATCTGTAACATGGAGATTAATAATCGTGTCTTTTTCATGAAGTTGTTATGAAGAGTCAATGAATTACAATTTGTAAAAGTGCTTAGAACAGTGTCCCGCCCATAGTAAGTGGTATGTGTGCATGACTTATTGTTATCATTATCTTCGTCTGTGCTAGGCTGCAGGTAGAGATCAAAGAGCAAAGAGAAGGCTCCCAGAAAGCTGGAACCTGAGATGAAAGTCGGCTATTCTGGGAAGCAGAGAGAAAGGCTGCTTAAAAATAAGACCATGCCTAGATGGCCCTAGCTGGTGGGTCTGCTCCTGCACAGGAGGGGTTGGAGATTTCACTATAGGAGGCTGGTCAGAGAAGGCCTGTCTAAATATACCCACCTCAGTTAGTTCTCTACAGCCTCGGGTACGTTACTCGACCTCCCTGACCTGCATTTTCTCAACTGTAAAATAGCGGCCATATCTTTTTCACTACAGATTAAGAGATAACATATATAAAGCCTCTAGCAGAGCTGGCCACGAGGTAGGCTCTAACCCACTACTCATTTTCCTAGTTCACCTACTCCCCTCCTCGAATGTAGCAAATGATCATATGGATCCTTATGACATCAGGATCTAAATAAGCAGTCCTATTTTTTTTTTTTCTCCTTTGAAAGCTGGCCTAGAATTGCAGAATTCCCAGCAAGGCAGGGAACAGGGAAAACTCCACAGACTGTTGCCATTTCATTCTTGTGCCCAGAAAATTCTGAGGCCCCTTGTCAGCTGCTGAGACTTCCAGAGCCCATGTGATCCAGAGGAGGTGTGGAGCTGTTGGAAGCGGGGGAAATGTGCTGGCTGGACAGACCCTCATAAAGCATGGGCACTGCTGAGGGGCCTGAGGATGACAGCTGAGCATTCCTCCCCTTGATGCACGCCCACCACGCTGCTCGGCACTCGCATGTCTGTACTTTGGAAAGGGTCAGTTTTTCCAGTCGGTAGGCGTGAAAGCATGTGGTTTCTGCATCCTCATTCCCACTCCCTCTGGCTTGCTTCTATTGGGTTCCGGGCAACCAGCTCTGCTATTTCCCACCCCAGGCTTACTTTTTTTTTTTTTTTTTTTTTTTTAGACAGGGTCTCACTCTCTCACCCAGGCTGGAGTACTGTAGTACAATCATAGCTTGTTGCAGCCTTGAACTCCTGGGCTTAAGGGATCTTCCTACCGCAGCCTCCCAAGTAGCTGGCACTACAGGGATGCTGCACACCACCATGCCAGGCTATTTTTTTTTTTTTTTTAAGAGACAGGGTCTGGCTGTGTTGCCTAGGCTGGTCTTGAATTCTTGAACTCAAGTGATCCTCCCGCCTGGGCCTCCCAGTGCTGGGATTACAGGTGTGAGCCACCACACCCAATTGCTTACTGTTTTTCAAATGTACTTTCCTTCACTTTGTTCTCCAGCTGTCTGGCAGGAGTCTAGGCTATGATAAGGGACCAACATCATGCTGCACTCAGGCCAGACAAGGAGCTGGGAGGTGGAGCAAGAAGGTTGAAGGGCTATGAAAGGCCTAGTTCTTCACCTCTGGTTTAATACGAGCGATTCTATTTGAGAAGGTGGGCTACCTCTCCAAGGAAGGAAGGGAATGAAATTGAGACAGGGAGCTCTCTGCCTGCCCTCAGGGGACCGCTGGGCAGACAGGTTCATCAGATGCACAGGATATATAATCACTTCCTTCTGCCTCACCCCTGGCGTCCCCACTGACCAGGAAGCAGGGCCTCGTACCGTCATCGCTCGTGTGGTGCTCTGCGGTCACATCCTGGGTTGAGTCTTCAACCGAGGTAGTCTCTCCATGAGGGCTATCACTGCAACAGAAGCAAGAGTGACAGGGACATTAACATGTGCTCATAAAATTCTTGTCTTCCCCTTCATACAGCCTCCCTGGCGCGAGGGCACTGAATCCATCTTATGCTCTCTATATCCTAACTGCACACAATAGACAAATGCTTATAATGAAATACAAAGCTCTAGAGTTTTTCCAGTCTAGCTCCTGCTACAAAAACCACTTGAGACTACTTGGAACTTAGAATATCTCAAGACAAAGGGAAGCCCTTTTGAAGGTATAAACTAAATTCTTTAGAAAATAGAGAACAACTCAACTCCTCAAGGTCTGATTCTCTATGTGAATTCATTCCTGGTTTTCAAAGGGGAAGCAGGGTGGAAGGGAAACACTGGGTTTCGGCATCAGATAAAACTGGATTCGAAAACCAGCTCTGATACTTGGTAGCTGTGTGATCCTGGGCAAGTTATTTAATCTCCTTAAGCCTCAGCTGCCTCATCTATATACTGAAGATAAAGATCTATATCCTCAGCTGTGTGAGGATTTAATAAAGTAATTTAGTCACAAGTTTGGCACAGAGTGGGTGTTTAATAAATAGTACTTGCTTTCCTTCTTTCTCATTTTGCTTGATGCCTCTAGGTTGCTTTGCAGTTCAGACTGTGAACTGGTGAAAAAGTGGAAGGTGAGTCATAGGAGAGGGTGGGAAACAAAAGTAGGGGAGGAATAATCTGCTATGGGCTACAGGGCAGGATCCAATTACGGGTTGGAGGGCAGGGGAGAGAAGCTGGGTCAAGTTCTTGAAATAATTCATGAAATTTAAAATCATTCAGGGTAGGTCAGGCACAATGGCTCACACCTGTAATCCCAGCACTTTGGGAGGATCATTTGAGTCTAGGAGTTTGGGACCAGCCTGGGCAACTTAATGAGACCCTGTCTCTACAAAAAAAGAAAAAAAAAAAAAAAGCCAGTGTGCATGCTGTGGTTCTAGCTACTCTGGAGGCTGAGGTGGGAGGATTGGTTAAGCCTGGGAAGTCGAGGCTGCAGTGAGCCATGATCGTGCCACTGCACTCTGGCCTGGGTGACAGAGCAAGATCCTGTCTAAAAAAAAAAAAAAAAAAAAAAAATCATCCAGTGTAAGGAATCGAGAAATGATAGAGAGGTTACTAGGAAAGTCATTTCTATTCCTGATCTCCTGGCTCATGGACTTCAGAACTCATGAGGATGGGCACCAGGAAGTTCTTACTTCCTGAAAAGTAGAGAAACTGTTCATTTCTAAAGTTCTTCCTCTGGTAGTAGGCAGTAACAGGTGAGGCTTTCCAGGCAGTTGTGTGAAAGCACCATCACCCACTCAGCCTGGCAGCCTGGCCGCACAGTTTCCACCTTGGAACCCTCAAGCCTCTTTCCCCATGGGATGGATCCTACACTCCTGGGAAGTTCCTCAAAGACTGGGTGACCAGTTCAGAACTCATCCTGTGTAGAGCAAGTCACTTCCAAGGAGGTTTCCCAGGCTCCAGAGAACATTCTAGAAGAATATAAACGGAGATTCCTCTTTGTCAAAAAATGTAGGCACAATTTCTCACTGTTTTCTAGGGCTAAAAACCATCTGATGAATCTGATGAATTTTGTAATGTTCTGGAAACCTTTGAGATGGTGGGGGTGGCGGGGGAGAGGTTCAAAGGCAAACTTTCCCTCAGGGCTTCAAGTTTATTTACACAGCCAGCCAGTAAGGCAACAGTTCTAAACTTCAGCGAGCCATGGAAGGCTTGTTAAAAAACAGCGCCCCATCTTCAGAGTTCCTGTGTCACTGGGTCTGGGTGGAGCCAAATAACGTGCATTTCTAACCAGTCCTTTGTGACACAGATGCTGTTGGTCCAGGGACCTCACTTTGAAAACCACTGCTTTATGAGAAAGGCAAGAGGATGCTTTCTGAGGTCTCTTCTAGCCCTAAAATCCTATGCTTCTCTTGAAACACACTCCATCCCCAGCCTTTGCTCTTGTGCACCCACCAGACCCAAAAATACCTGAGGTCTCAGGAGCAGTCCACCATGCCACCCAGCCGGTAGTCCTAGAAAACCGGTTCCAGTTTCAGGACTGGAAAGTGTGGTGAAATGGATTTGTCTCTCCTCTCCACAGCTGTGGGGAGGCCATGTGGCCTGGTGCTCTCCTTTCCATGGCTGTTTGGGTCTCCTGATCATTCTCCATTCTCTTCTTAGTGCTCTATCTCCCCTTCTACCACCCTCACTCACCTCCTTACTGCCTTAGCTCCCGGGGCTGGCACTTCTCTCACTTCCCAAAGAAGGGAGAGGAGAGGCCATGAGCCTTCCAGGTGGGTGTGAATCCAGCGGTTAGAAGGTCCCTCTCAACCCAAGGTTGCTGACTCTTGTTCCTCAGGTGCTTCTAGCCTCCCACACAGTCTGCGGTAGTAATGTTCCCTGACTAATCTTGTGGTTTTTCCAGAGGCTGCTAATAAATGTTGAGTGCACAAGAAACAGGTGGGTAGGTTGGGAGACTATCTTGGAGGAAACTGGAGGAAGGCACCTGTCCCCGTGAGCCACACCCCTCCAGGACTCTGACCCACTGGGCTGGGACTCAGGGGCCAGGGCTGTAGGGGTCTCTGTGCCCCGGGCACTGGACCAGAGCCTGCAGTGGTTTGATGTTTGAGAAGTGAGGGCGGAGGTTCTGCCTGACTTTAGAAGGAAGGGAATGCTATTCTACAGCTTTTCACCACGCATGCAAGGGGGAAAACCAAAGCTCTAAGTCACATGCACAAGGACAGCTCCCTGGAGCTCATCATCCAGTAGGCTGAGACCTAAAGTGACCAACAACCTCCCCAGTCACCACCAACCATCTGTCGGTGACAAAAAGCTTTCTCTCCCAGCTGGCCAGCATAGGTTCCTCCAGCTTGGACCCAGACACTGAAATCTGCAGTACAGCAGAGAGGGATGAACCCAGGGATGTCACTGGTATTACTAAGTTCACAGAACACAAATGCCACTTTCTTCACTCCTTGGGCAAGAGGCTGTTCTGTGGGGGTCAGGGAGAAGCGTGGACCAATTGGCCTCTAATTAAGTAAACAACCTCCCCTGTCCTCCCCTACCTCAGTCGATAGCAATGGGGCTGGCCGAATTGGTTCCAGATGTTGAATTCAGACAGAATCCGATTTGGGCTGGCTTGTGCTTTCAGCTCAGGCTGAAATACTATTTAGGGGAAGAAGGGAGGGGGAGGAGGAGGGGGAGGTAAGGGACGTTAGGGATTAAAAGAGAGAGGCAGTTGTCTTTGTGTTTAGTGAAAAAACGACGCTGTAAATGGTACCATGGCGGGTGGCATGGGGTAACGGACTGTACCCTGTACAAAGAGATGAGATTGGGGTTAAATTCCCATCACTAGAGTGGCCTAAAATACTGTCACTGGCCTTTCTGGGTTGCAGCTACTTCATCCATAAAATAGAAATAGTGATTTGTTCTTTGTCAAACAGAGGGGTCTAGCAAACATATATCCCAGGGATTCCTTTTAGATCTCTGTTCCGAAGCTAGGTCATGGAAAACCTGGCCCCACAGAATGGAATGCTGCTTCAGGGGAGGACAGTCCCTAACCTGCCAAAAACAAGGCTTACCCTTCTTTCTCTTCACAAATTTCTAAAATCATTCTGAAGTGCCAGCTTACAAACTCACGGTCAGGAAATTATGCCTTTTATCTAAACTCTTCCCAAAAGGAAGGGAATTCCCTGGGACCCAGGATGGTTTTTCTCAGAATACAGAGCACAGAGTAGAAGCCCAAGAGACACTGTTGATGAATAAAGATCACTTCTAGATGCAACTTTATAAAAAGTCCTTTCTTAGAGATTAGTATCACAATTAATGTTGTCAATATCTTTCAGAATAGTCCCTTGCCACTCAGAACTCATCAAAAAGGGAGGTGGCAAGAAGTGGCATTTAGTCTGTGGGTGGGGCCGAGGTGGGGGCTGCCTATAGCATCCCCAGACCCTAGCAGCCTGGGAGTGAGGAGTTGGGAGGATCTGGGTGTTTCCCTTTGGTTTTCGTGTGGCCATCTGGCTCCCATGCCAGTGTGTGCTAGTGAATCCCTCCCCTCCTCCCGTCCCAAGCCCCCCTACCAGTAATCCTCCATGCTTCCTCCTCTGCTGTAGACAGGGCCCTCCAGCTCCCTGGGGCTTGGGAAGATGTTCTCATGCTGGATGATGATGGTTTTGATCAGCTCATTCACGTGGGCTTGGCAGGACACCTGGTCGTGGCCCTCTGGCACTGACATTAGCGAGGGCCCGAAGCAGATGGCGAGGTTGTAGGGGTCCATCATGTTCTCTTCACTGAACTGTGATAAACTGGAGGAGAAGGGAAAGGGGGCAAGCTGGAAAGCTCTCGCATGAATGCCCAGAAAACACAATCACAGGAGGCGCTGCCAAGAGCAAAAGCAGAAGGTCCACAAATTGCCACCTGCCTTTCTGGGTGTCAGAGACTTTCCAGAAAGTAAGCTGGGGAGAAAACTGACAACCAGAATGGTCATTCAGGAGCTCAGGAAATGCAAACTAGAGGTACTTGCTTGCAGCTCTGATCCCTTCTCTCTTTCCAGCTCCCATTTCAAATTCTACTTACCACCCCATCCTCATCCCTATCCCCGGATCTTATCTATCAAAGGCCACATGACCTTGAGAACATGTCACTCTGCAGAGCTGAATATGGCTGCTACACACCAACATACTAAGCTGCCAGGGCAGACGGGGACCCTCAGGCTGCCCTGGTAAAGATATGGTCAGAGGCACAGGCACTGTGCATTGTGTACCTTCTTGCATAACAAAATAATCAAATTATTAGGGATATTCCTTTCTAGCCTCTAGACTTATTAACAAATAGCCAACTGATTAGCTTTCGTATTCCATCAAGCCAGTGAATTTCTTCCTAGAACAGCAAATGCAATTGTTTTTCGTGTTCATAATCTCCTTCTAGATTATTACATTCAGGATTTTTTCAGGAAAAGGTCAGCATGCCATTTGGCTTCTGCTCGGGCTTCCTCTGGATGCAGGCTGACTTCATTCTCGGGTATTTATTTATTCTGGGAACTCTCCCCTTCTCAGCCAGCAGCTGTTCCAGCCACACCTCCAACCTTGGCCAAGGACCCAAGGCCTTCAATGAGCCACTGCACCTGATGAGTCCCATTGGGCCTTGCCCGTCCAGGCATTGAGGGCTGGGCCAGCTCTGGATACCTCCCCAACACAGCCTGCAGAGCTGTGAGCTCTGCTGAGGAGTCTCCCTTATAGGCATGGGCAGGATTTGATTCTGAGAAGGAACCAAAGGTCCTCTGTTGGGAAACGAGGCCTGAGACTCAGCTGTCTCCATCTGAGTAGCTGTTCTTCAGAACTGATTGCAGAGTTTGTTTCTGTAGTGTACCCCTCATCCAGCCTCACATTACAAAGCCCATTACCCTCTGACTCAGTGGTTCTCTCCCCTCCTGGAGATGTACCCCCTGTCTGTTTGCGAATCACTGCAGGACTTGAAGAGTGGTATTATGGACGTGATGGGAGAAAAGAGTTGAGAATCACTGTTCTCTAGAGCCTGGAATCAAATGCAGGAGAGGCCAGCAACGGGGGAGGTTACAAATCTCATTGGATTGCTTCACAGGAGTTCTTAAAAGTGTATAATCCTTCCCCGGATCCTGAGTTCAAAGAGAGCAGAGATTTAGAAAAGACTAGGGGAAGTTTCTAAGTCTACTTCCTAGTCAAATTAAAACTGGGGAGGGACAGGAGGATAATTACCTTGGTAACCTCAGAGCAAACAACTGAGGCATGAGGTGCTGCAGGCTTAAGCTGTAGCTAATCCAAGGCTGGCCAGTTCCTGGTGTCATGGAGGGACAAAGAGGAGGAAGGCCTTGATACTTTAGAGTGATCTGACAATGTTTTGGTAACATAAAAGAAAACCAGTAGTGTCTGGGAAGCCTGATGGTCAAAGGGAAACAAACTCTAGTCCTGAGAGTCCTGAGTCAAAGCTCTGTGGAAGATGAAGAATGTTGGGAAGCCTGCTAAGGTAAGAACTGTTCAATTCATAGGTGGCTACAATGACCAGGAGCTTGAAGAGGACACATCTTTGTGGACTGTGGTCTCATGATTCTAGGTCTATTTTCTTGCTCCCATCAAAATACAGATGAAAATCCATTTTTCTTTTCCAATATACAGTGGGAACATCTAAGTTTAGGGGCTGAAGCAGTGGTTCTTTTTTTTTTTTTTGAGACGGAGTCGCCTGTCTGGGTTACAGTGGTACAATCTTGGCTCACTGAGGCCTCTGCCTCCTGGGTTCAAGTGATTCTCCTGCCTCAGCCTCCCAAGTAGCTGGGACCACAGGCGTGCACCACCACGCCTGGCTAATTTTTATATTTTTAGTAGAGAGAGGGTTTCGCCATGTTGGCCAGGCTGGTCTCAAACTCCTGACCTCAGGTGATCCACCCGCCTTGGCCACCCAACGTGCTGGGATTACAGGTGTGAGCTACTGCGCCTGTCCTAAAGCAGTGGTTCTTAACTATTTAGGGGACACAAGTTCCTTCAATAACTTGACAAAAACTAGGGATTCTCTCCCCAGAAAAATTCACATATGTGCGCATATAAATAAATGCACACAGTTTTGTGTAAAATGTCATGGTGTTAATAATCTTTGAAGTCCCTGAAGGCTGTGTCTAGTGTAAGAGTATAAAAAACTGGATTTTTATTTTTAAAGAAATATCTAGGCCAGGCGCGGTGTAATTACAGGCTCATGCCTGTAATCCCAGCACTTTGTGAGGTCGAGGTGGGTGGATCACCTGAGGTCAGGAGTTTGAGACCAGCTTGGCCAACATGGTGAAACCCTGTCTCTACTACAAATACAAAAAAATTAGTCTGGCGTGGAGGTATGCACCTGTAATCCCAGCTACTCGGGAGACTGAGGCAGGAGAATCGCTTGAACCTGGGAGGCAGAGGTTGCCGTAAGCAGAGATTGTGCCATTGCACTCCAGCTTGGGGGACAAGAGCAAAACTCCATCTCAAAAACAAACAAACAAAAACAAACAAACAACAACAAAATAAAAACAAAGAAATACCTAAAATGGATAACATTAGTAACAACTCTCTGCTTTAAAATTTTTGGTGTCGACTTGTAGTCACTCATGCCATGTCCTCAAAGAGTTCTACTGTATTTCTACAGTTTCAGTTCATATTATTAGTGAATTCTCCTAACTGATTTGAACTCATCTTTTGTGCTTCATAAAAAGGTTCAGCATTGTGGTTAGGAACAGAGGCTTTTTGGGGCGCCAGGATTGGTGTTGGGAAACTTACTTTTTAGCATGCACTTTTCTGGATTTTTAACTTTTTAATGATATGCAATTACCTCTCCAGAGGGCCCCTGCTAAGCTGTACTTGGATTCCAGACCCACAGAAACTGAGATATTAGCTTTTTTGGTTCCTTGAGATTGACAATGTGTCCAATCCAAGAACAAACAGTAGCCAGAAATAAAGTACACATACATCCAGGACTCACAGCAATGAAGAAAAAGGGTCCTGATGGTCTGGGCCCAGGCAGAGTCTGCATCGGGAGCTACCTGCCAACTATTGCTACCCCTGTCCGGAAGTGCACACCTGTCAGCTGCTGTCTTCCTGTGGAGGTGGTCTGCTTTATCATTTGTGTCTTGCATTCTATTTATTATTTTAGAAAACACTTTATTAATGCTGCATTTTTTTAATGTTAACACTTTGATGAGCAAATCAATCTCGTTTCAATCAGAAAAAAACCCAATAAAAGCAAAACAAAATGAATAATTTGAATTGGTGCAATTCCTATGCTGTCTTCAATAGTGGCTGCCATCTCTGCAAGCAGCAACCCTGCATGGATGCTTATTCTATTGTTTCTCCCCACTGTACTGTCACATATAGTCCCCCAGCCCTCCCTGTTTTCCCCTCATCCCCATTTGCTCACCACTGTCATGCTCCCAGCTCTGGGGGCACAGACGAGGCTCATGTTGAGGGCAGGTATTGGTCTCTGAGGGGAGACAATGACTGGTAGCCCTGAAGGGACTAACTCGAGAGTAATTAGCAGAGTTTCCAGGCTGCACATGAACACGCTGTGTGACTCACTGGGGTGTTCAACCCAAAGGCAGTGGTGGTGCTGAGTCAGGGCCTGGCCAATGAATAGAGCAGACACAACCGCATGGAAGAGACAAGATGGGGAACAAGGACCCTCTGTAGCTCTGAAGGGCCAGCAAGGGGGCTACATGATAGTGTGGGTGCCCCAGAAAAGGTCTCAAGCTGGGGCCACTAACCCAGATACCTATAAGGCCAGGTTGACCACAAACTTGGAAGCAAGCTGACACTTATGAAATGGTCTCTAAAGTTGTATTCCTTTTAAGCAGAGACTAACCTTGTAGAAGGCTCCTCATTTTCACAAAGAAATATGTGCAAAAACACCTGGGTCCCTTGGTTTACCTTTTGTTTCCCCTACTCTGATAGATTCATGGATCCAGAGAAACATTTTTGTTCTCTATGAAAACCACAAAACAAGAGTGATGATAAATAGCAACTGAATTCAGCCTCAGGATTGGGGGACAACGGGGAGGGCTGGGGACTGTGGTGAATTGGGGAGTGCCTGCCCCATCTAGGGAGTACAGCCCTTACTCCACAGGGAATTGCTGCCACCAGGGACTGCAGAGTCAGTATCACCAGATCTAATAATTTTTCAAAAGAAGCTAGAAATCTAGGTTTTTAAAAAGTGAAATTTCCCCAAATGTAAGTATGATTTCATTGTTCTCAAGACACAATAGACACCTGAAGAGAACACATCTTCGGCTTTATCTGGCTCTCAGGGTGCCCATTTATAACCTTTGGTCTAGGCTGTTGAGGGCGAAACTGCAGCAAAACCAAAGTGAAAAGACAGAGGTGCCTCAGAGGGGAAGAATCACATGTCCTTGCTTGGTGCCTTTCCTGTCATGTGGGGACTCCAAAGCTTGCTCCACACAAGGACATGCTGCTTGGACGAGAAGAAATGCCCCATCCACACCCGCGGCCCCCTCTGCTCCTCAGACCTTTGTTGTAGACACATCCGTTCCCTGGGTGATTAGCTAAATACCACCAGTACATGGGCAACTCCTGCACTGGCAGCTCCACTCCTGGTTTCTCCCTTAAGGGTTGGATTCCTAGGTCCAATTGTTCAAAATCTCCACTTGGACATCTCACAAGTGCCTCAAATGACCATGACCACATCAACACATTGTCTTGATTCCTTTCTCCACACCTTGTCTTCTCCAACTCCATAAATGACCACCCTATGTCCCTGTCGCTCATGCCAACAATTTAGGATTTCTCTCTCCATATTCTATGTATAATCCATGGGCAAATCCTGTTAATGCTATGTTCAAAATGTATCACAAACCTGACCCCTCCTCACCGCTCTCCAGACTCAGCCACTAACACCTCTGGCCAGACCAGATGGTAACCTTGGGATAGGGTCTCCCTGTTTCTCTTCATGACCCTTTCCAGTAACTTCTCCACAAAGCAGTTGGCAGTTTTTAAAAAAATAAAATACACAAATCAGATAGTAACATGCCGGGTGCGGTGGCTCACGCCTGTAATCCCAGCACTTTGGGAGGCTGAGGTGGGCACATCACGAGGTCAAGAGATGGTGACCATCTTGGCCAACGTGGTGAAACCCCATGTCTACTAAAAATACAAAAATTAGCTGGGCGTGGTGGCATGCGCCTGGGTCCCAGCTACTCAGGAGGCTGAGGCAGGAGAATCGCTTGAACCTAGGAGGCAGAGGTTGCAGTAAGCCAAGATCGCTCCACTGTACTCCAGCCTGGAGACAGAGCAAGACTCCGTCTCAAAAAAAAAAAAAGAAAATCTTCTAATTGCTTCCCAAATCCAAATCCAAACTCGCTATTACCATGACTCTGGGGTTTTAAATGGCCCCGTGGCACTCTTTTCTCCTCCTCTGGGCTGCTGCTTGTACACTGTCTTCTCAGGCAGGCCTCTGCTGTCCACCTCAACTACAGTGCTTCTCCCTCCTTTCATTCAGACCCCTTTACTCTTTCCCCTCTCTTTACTCTTTTTTATTTTTCTTCTAAGCACTTATTCTACCTGATATATCTGTTATTGGCTGTTTCCTTCCCTGGAACAGGAGCTAAATTATATCAAGGCTTTCATCTTTTATTTAACGATGTATTAAATAAGTCTAGCACTGTGGCTAGCACACAGTAGGTGCTCAATAAATATTTTGTTGGGATGGATGAATAGGCATAGGTCCATAGAGGAACTTCCAGTGCCCAAGCCAAAGCCTGATCCAGCTGTTCACTGGGAAGGCTACTCACTGATTGAGGAAGGCAAAGAGGTATCTCATGATAATCAGAGTGGTTTTGGGCAGGACTAGGAGGACTTTCCGGATGTGCAGAGCTCTCTCCTGCAGGTTGTCCATTGCTGAAAAGAAGAAAGCCATGTGTTATCCTCCACTATGACTGGGATCCCAGGCAGTAATGATCAGAAGTCCCTACTACCAGCAGGGGCAACACGGACAGCATCAGATCAAGCCCACGCACAGCACTGGTGCAGTGACAGGAGTGTCATCCCTGTTGCTCCTTGGAGTAGGGCTGTTAGAAGAGGGCACCTGCTGGGCTCCAGACATTTACCATTGCCGGATGTAAGGTGTATACTTCTTGGGCACAGGGAACTGTGCCAAATCCAAATCCAAACTCGTTATTACACATTATTAATATTAAACTGAACTAGGGTTGTTGTAATCTCATTGTTATTAATAACAAGTTTGGATTTGGATTTGGGCACAGGAAATGGGGTTAGAAATGTTCCCCACAGGATCTACCACCCTCTTATTCAAACAACCACTGACAGGGAGCTGCCGCCAACCTGCTGTAACTGCTCAACACAAAGCCTCAAAGGGCCTACTTCTCGGTGGGAAGAGAGGCTGTGCAAGAGGCCTGTCCTGCTCACTCCACACATGCCATCTCATCCTCTGGACAAGTGTGGCTTATCTTCTCCCTCCCTTATCTGCACTATGAATGAGTAAAAAGTGGCCTGAGGCAAGAGGTAGCAGGCCCCTGGGTATGTAGTGATATTGGGAAGGAGACCTGAAAGGTTTTCTTGTGCTGTGGAGAGGTTAATTATAGGTCAATTACAGGTCCTCCATCATAGGCAGCCTCTCACTTCCACAGTGTGCCATGTAAACACTGCCATTTTCTATGAGTGCCTTTATATGAAAAAGAGATGGGAAGTACTGGATTAGGAAGAAGAGTGTATCTCTAGGGAAGAACTGGGCAGCCAAGGGATATTGAACTGTCTTGGCAACCCCAGTTCAGCTTAAGATACTTCACCTAGGCCCAGTCCCGGAAAAAGACAAAGACATGACCCAAGGGAATCACATTCTTAATCACCCACATAACTCACTTCCACTAGACTCCCACAAACAGAAGTCAACAAAACAAACCAGAGAGCCAGCTTCCCAAATGCCCTGGGCATTTCTCAGGATAACAGAGAGGGACAAGTACTCAGGGCAGATACTGAGTGAAACTGGAAACTCAGCAGGTATGAAGATCTGGTCAACCTAGGAAGAAGGATCTTTTCTCCATTCAAAGGTACCACTCCCTCCAGCCTCTGGAGCCATCAGTCAGACAGGGCCTGCTTCCAGGCTGACCTGTATTAATCCAAGTTTCCATTGATTGTTTTCCCTGGCAAACAAATGAGAGGGTGTTCCAGTACCACAAGCTAAACCAAATGGCTAGGAATAGCTTTTCAAGACCCAAATTTTAGAGTAAGAGGCAGAGAACTCCTAAGAGGATAAAGCAGAGAATATACCTTTCTCTTTGGGAAAATATCCTATTACTACTTTTAAATGTGCAGAGGGCTTTTGTTCCTAGAACACATATTAATACATTTAGCAGGTAAGCCATGTCTTGTTTAATGCAACAAGCATGAAATATTTGCAACGCTTATGCTTTTCCCCCTTGTACCATGAAAAGCACAAGCACTAATGTATAAGCTTCAAATACATAATTGAAAATAAAGGTATTTTACTAAAAAAAGATAAAGCCCAGAGATGAATCAGAAGAAAAAAAAAAAGGCCAGGAGTACTGACTTGGGGGGTCCTAGATTCTTACTGAAAAGTCTTTCCTCCTCCCCTCCCACCAGGGGATGAAGGAGTGAGGCTGAGGAGAAATTTCACTGGGGAAAAGAAAAACTTCATTGAAAAGCTTATGAGAACACACAGACCCTGTGGAAACTTTTTCTCTCTTGCTACCGGTGCTGTAGCCCAGAAGCCAATCTGAAGCCAGAATGGTACTTACTGACGCAGGCCATCAGGTCATGAAAGATGTCCTTGGGGAAGAGAGGGTGTTCCAGCCCCCGGAAGTAAAGCTTCAGGACACCAGCTATGGAATCCATGTCATGGTCGTTCTGGTCCCCAGCCAGGGGGTCCTCTCCTGAGGATAAGCAACCCCCACGAAAAGGAAAGAGAGTGAGAGAGGCAAAAACACACAGGACGAACGTGGGGAAGGGGTGAACCATGCATGTCCTGGTCCCAATCCATCAGCTTTCTGCCCGGCATGGTGGCCATGAGTGGGACAGACCAGGGAACAGATAAAGCAAAGACTGCTCCATTTCAGGGGCTCCAGGACCAAAGCACGGCAGATGAGTCCACCAATATAAACTCTCTTGTGCCAGCCTGGCTCAGGGACATTCCCTATGGGCTGAGGATGGGACACAGCAACTGTATCTCACAAGAATCATGAAACCAGGCTGGGACTGAGCCCCTGCGGGGAGAAAAATGAGGCCAAGGAGGCCAGCTCCTGAGACTGGCTCTCACGTCTCCTGGCCTGCAACCAAGAACACCTACTTACAGAACAATCATGCCAGAGCTCCCTATGGAAAATTTCATATCAGATGTAATTAGATTTAATGATAGGGCCAACCTCAAATTGACACTATATATATCCATTACAGTGACGGAAATTGCCAAAGCTTGCCCATTACCTTAATAGCCCACAAAATAATAAATGGGCTACAATGAACAAGCGCATTAGCCTTGATATTAACTGCTACCAAGGGTTCCGGATGAAGCCATAAACCGCCCAGATATCATAGTTAACTTCTTGGGTTTTGGCAGATCATCGGCGTGAAAGAGGCAGGATGGGTAGGGCTACGAAAGAAGAAGGAAACTGGGATGTGCCCTGGTATTTCTCTGCATATCTACAGGGGAATGTGTACAAGACAGCAGGTACCCCCTGAAGAGACAGGGAAGTTGGCTTCCTGACCTCTGGGGACCTCTTAGAGAAGAAAGGGTGGAGCCAATACCCCAGGGGGCTGGCAAATATTTGGTTTTATCTTCAAGACTGTTTCCTTACCTCTCTCAAAGGCATTTTTGATGTCATTCACTTCCACCTGGGATCCTGACACCCGGAAAATTCCTTCATGCTGTAGTCCTGGAAATACACAGAAAAGTGATCAAGAAGAAGAAAAAGCAAATTCACAAGCATAGTGCCAAGCTTAGTTGAATATCTGTCTCCCCCAGCCAGCATGTATTTAAGCACGCTGTCTCTCTTCTTTAGGCCAAAGGAGAAAAACATGTGCAAGGATGTTGGAAAAGTCACTGGAATAATTTCGAGGCATTCATTTTCACTAGAAAGCACCAAGTTAGAGACTCCTTTGACTCCAAGGGCGACTATGAGGCAGATTCCTTCCCTTGTTTTGCCTCTCTTTTCCCATCTGTAAAGCAAAGAAGTGACCCATTGGTACTTTTTTAAATCATCTAGGGTCAAGAATAGAAAAATGTACTCAGGAAGCTGAGGCAGCAGGACTGCTTGAGGCCAGGAGTTTGTGACCAGCCTGGGCAACATGAGACCCTGTCTCTAAAAAATGTTTTAAAGTAGCCAGGCACAGTGCTTATAGCATGCCTGTAGTCCCAGCTACTCAGGAGGCTCAGGTAGGAGGTTCACTTGAACCTGGAAGTTAGAAGCTACAATGAGCTATGATCACACCACTGCCCTCCAGCCTGGGTGACAGAGTGGACTCTATCTCAAAGAAAAAAAAAAAAAAGAATGGGAAATAGGTCAAGGCATTAGTTCTCATCAGAGGAGTTTCATAAGGTCTGAGATTATAATATTGCTTTAGCTGTTTTAACACGGTTTGATTGTTCAAGGGGGCAATGCTTTCAATACTCATGAAAAAGAGAGAACATGAAACTATAAGTCAGGAGCATCCAATCTTTTGGCTTCCCTGGACCACATTGGAAGAAAAATTGTCTTGGGCCACACATAAAATATTCTAATGATAGCTGATGATAAAAAAAAAATCCCCCCAAAATCTCGTAATATTGTAAGAAAGTTTACGAATTTGTGCTGCAGCCCATGGGCCACAGGTTGAACAAGCTTGCTATGAAGTGATCAGTCAACAGATAGTATTGCCAGACATTGTGCTAGGCACTGGTTCCTGACTACAGCTTTACTCTAAAGACAAACATGCATGAATGTTATACTACGATAATGTGCACAAGAATTTCTTGGTTTTGTTAGAGAAAAAAATCATGAAAAAAATGCTGGCATAGTGACTGCTGCTAATCAATGCTTTCACAGAAATAAATTACTTGGTCCTCAGAAATAATAATGTCACAACAAGGTAAAGGTTGGCAACAATCTCATTCTCTGGATGAGGGGATTGATGAGTGATAGTCAGCCTTAAGTTATACAGGAAGTAAGAACCAGGGCCATGACTCAAACTCAGGCCTTGTGGCTGCAATCATACTCAGTCCTCAACACCAGGCTTCTGGAGTCTACTGGAGTGCAAGTGCAGAGGCTGGAACCACATTGGTCAGTCTGAGCATGGACATGGCTTTACAGACAGCACCACACACACAACTGCAAAACGGGTGAGAAATCCAGCAAGTGTGTCATCAGTGCCAGCCCCAGGGGTTGGACTGGACTAGCATCTCTGATTGCATCAGGACCGCTCAGCTTTTCTCAGGATCCCTGGGTCTCAATCTTAAGCATTCTGTCAAAATCCCTCTGTTACGGCACAATCCTTCAAAAACCTTGACATGCTGGAGAAATCTCAAATTTTATTTTAGGAAAACAAAATGGACTAATGCTACATTTTGCCCACTGTTTGAGGGTTTCTCAGTGAGGAGGCAGATGAATTCTATCAGTTAGACCTTTGGAGGTAAACCACATAGGCCGGGACTGATATTTTGAATCCAACTGAAACAACATTAAAAAGTAAGCAGAGGAAATATAGTTACCTGGCTTGTAATAGGCCTTAAGTTGTCTGCTCCTATAAAGGAATCTCCAGAATATTCCTCACAGAGTGGCAGGCAATGTTAAAACCTCATTAGTACCAGTGTAATAGGACTATAATACTAGTTACAAATGGGATGTAAAAGCCAGATAATGTTGTTTAAAGATAGTATGTAAACAACAAGTGCTTTGAGAGAAACAGCCACATGTCACAACATGGTATAAGCAAATGTCATCTCGGAAACCAGGCTACTCACTATGTTCTAGTTGGTGAAGCCATTGCACAAATTCTTGAAAGAGCGTCATCATCTTGATACTTTTTGGTAGGTTAGGACACCAAGGAAAAGCAGCCTTGGCCTGGGGGTCCAGGACAAGAAGAAATGAGAGGAGAGCTCATTGGAAATCAGGCAGCAGGCCTGGAACACATGGAGCTCTCTTTAGGTCTGGTCTCTGTTTCCTCCTGAGAACTTATGTTTTGGAGGGACTACTATGTGTTCTTGCTCAACAGACAGAATCTCTAGATTCTAGAAGCAGAAACATTAATAAGTGGCTGGTTTCCAGAAAGTAAAGGGAAAAACCAGTTGGCTTTTTATTATAATGCAGGCGAATCCTTACATAACCAAAGTGACACATCCATGATCTTTTAAATTTTTTCTCAGTTCACATGAACATGAAAGTATAAAACTCATCAGACTTGGACTAAGCTATTTGGAAATGGCACAAAACCTTCCATTGTGCACGGGATCCAACCATTGCCAAAAGTTGTTCTCCTGGAGAATTCTTCAAATGATTTCTACAGCAGCCATCTCATGTTCACGTTATCTTGCTCCCTTCCTCATGAAAATGGCGGTTTGTTTTTTTGTTTTTTTCCATCATGATTCAGTTTCAATTGTTCCTCAAATCGCTTCTCTTCCTTTAAGCCTTCCTGAATCACCCTCACCCACCACTGAGCTTTCTCATCTATATAATGGGGACTATAATGTCTACCTCCCATGGGATTTGAGGATAGTTAGGATGTGAAAATCCCCAGCATTCAGTGGGCCACAGACTCTTTCAAGACTGACACAGGTTATGAGCTCTATCCTCATTAGATGCCTATACACAAAAATTTTTACTATGGTTTTTTAGGGAGTTCATGAGCACCTTAAGCCCCTATTTGGGAAAAATCAATTTAGTGGAACAGATGTTTTTTGAGCAGCTACTATGTGCTCAATTGTTAAAAAATCCACAATATATTTGCTTGATCCTAGAATATATATAAAATACTTTTAGAATTGCTAATCCATATTTGTGTGATAAAAAATTACTAATTACTGTAAAATATTTGTTTAGAGATCTTTTTATCTTCAGATTTATATTACAGTCAAGACAAATTACTTAGGTTATTTTCTTCCTCATTCTCTTCATTGTGGTTACGTTATTCACTTGTAATACAGTTAGGTTTATATGTTACTGTCTGCATTCCATTTTGGGTTGTACCCATACTCTGCCTTTATTTATTTATTTATCTTTTTTTTTTTTTTGAGACAGGGTCTCACCCTATCACTCAGGCTGGAGTGCAGTGGTGTGGTCTCATCACAACCTCCATCTCCTGGGTTTGAGTGATTCTTGTGCCTCAGCCTCCCGAGTAGATGGGATTACAGGTGCCCAACACCACACCCAGCTAATTTTTTTGTATTTTTAGTAGAGACAGGGTTTCGCCATGTTGGCCAGGCTGGTCTTGAACTCCTGGCCTCAAGTGATCTGCCCACCTCAGCCTCCCAAAGTGCTTGGATTACAGGCATGAGCCACCATGCTTGGCTTGTTTATTTATCTTTTGAGTACAGGAAACACTAATGTTGTTCTAAAAGTCAAAACTACACTAAGGTAAGAGAAATGCCACTCCTTACCATTTCCCATTGCCCCATTCTTTTCACGTTTTTTCCATCCATCCCCTATAAGTAACCAATTAAATATTAGTTCCTAGATTCATCCTTCCTGCATTTCTTTTTGCAGAAATGAGAAGATACGTGGATATTCTTATATCTTCTTCTCTCTTATATAAAAGGTAATGAAATGCAAAAGAATATCTATATATATAGTCCCTGACTTGCAATAGTTTGACTTATGATTTTTTGACTTTATGATGGTACCAAAATGATATGCATTCAGGAGAAATACTTCCAATGTTGATCTTTTCTTGTGCTAGCAAAATATAGTACGATATTCTCTTATAATGCTTGGCGGCAACAAAGAGCCACAGCTCCCAGTCAGCCACGTGATTACCAGGGTAAACAACACATACTCTACAGTGTATAGTGTTGCCAGATGATTTTGCACAACTGTAGGCCAATGTACATGTTCTGAGCACATTTAAGGCAGGCTAGGCTAAGCTCTGATGTTCCCTAGGCTAGGTATATTGAGTACATTTTCAACTTACTATGGATTTATGCGTACGTAACCCCATTAGAGGCCGAGGAGCATCTGTAGTATTCTACATGATATAGACTCTTTCACATTTTGTTTTTTTCACTTAACAACATATCCTGGGAATCTCTCCATATTAGTTCAAGGAAATCTTACTCATTCTTATATAGTACTCCATTGAATGAATGTCCCATAGTTTCTTCAACCACTCCTCTATGTATGGGCATTTAGGTTGTTTCTAATACTTTGCAACTACAAACAATGCTGTCACAAATAACCTTGTGCGCATGCATTTTTGTATTGTTGGAGATGTAACTTCATGGCAAATTTCTAGAATTCCTAGGATCTGCTGGATCGTAAGTGCATATGAAGTTTTGTTAGATACTGCCAAATTCCCTTCCAAAGAGTTGTATCAGTTTGCATTCCCATTAGTAACATATAAATGTGCCTGTTTCCCCAGAGCTTCACCACAGTAATGGTGAAGCACTCACGCACTGTGGCTGTAAGGGGCAGAAACAGGTACATTCATGCCACAATATCTGGAACCTGCCCACTTTTCAGCAAATACCACAGCTAACACCCTGGTCTAGGCCGCCATCATGTCTTCCTCAGGCTACTGCAGTTGCTTCCTGTCTCCTTCTTACAGTCTTAGCTCCATAGAGCATCAGGGATCCTTTAAAAAGATGACTCCCTGTTCAAAATTCTCCAGTGGCTTCCCATCTTCCTCAGAATAAAATCCAATCCTAGCACATGAGGCCCTAAGAGTCTGGCTTCCAGCTTCATCTCCTGCCGCTTCCTTTTTCATTTGCTCTGCTCCAGCTACGCTGGCTTCCTGCATATGGCAAGGATCTCTGCACTTGTTCCCGCTCCCCAAGATACTCTTCCCCAGATATCCACAAGGCTTACTCCCTCACAACTCTGCCCTAATGTCACTTTAGGAGAGGCCTTTTCCCTGAACCAGCTTCAAACAGTGTTCCCTCTTCCTTCTCCATCCCCTCACCCTGCTTTACTTTTCTTCATGACATTCACCAATACCTGACATACTGTATTTACTGGCTGATCAATTGGTCATTTGCTTATCCACCTTTCAGTGGAATGTAAGGTTTATGAAGGCAGAAACTTTTTGTTGGGATATAATAAGCAACTAATATGTATTCGTTCAATGAATGAAATGTATGCTAATGAACAGTGGCTCAGACTTTCTTCTTCCTATTGTCTCTTAGGCACAAATAATTCATCCTCCCCTGAACTCCGTTTGGACTTTTCTTTGCAAACTGTTTGACTGTTAATCATTACTATCTTGTGAAATTTCTTATACTCTATTCTGAATTACCACAGCTTATCCCTTTTTATTTAACTTATCACTTGCTTACTTATTTCTCCCAACTGCATCACAAAACCACTTAAAGACAGGAAGAGTATATTATTCCTGTTTCTGTTTTCCTGCATGGCAATGCATGGTACCCAGCATTGATCAGGGACTTGATAAATTTGTTGACTGTTCAATACTGATATACAATGCTGTTACTTTAAATGAATAGGGATAAAATTTAAAAATTATAGCTGATTAGAATGAGATCAATTGTAACCATGCTATAATAATTACTATTCCAAAAATGAACCTGAGCAATGTCCCAGTTTACAGGGAGAGAAAAAGACAAGGAGAGGGAGAGAGAATAGCTGCCTCTGAATTTAGACAAGCAATATTTTATCTACCTCCTTAGCTCCAGAAAGGTCACTCTGCCCCTTTTCCTATCACAGAAAGAACAGCATCTAAAAACAATTTCTGATGCTCAGTTCCTAGAAATTTTCATAGCACTAGTTCTGTCCTTTATAAACACTCTAATCCCTGGGAAATCAATTCTCTGGCAATTATTTCGATCGCTAAATTCTGTCCAATGAGACCAGTAGCTGGTGAGGAATGGTGTTTATAAGATTCAGCTTCATCCAAGTAGAAGAGAGTATGATTTCACCTAGGCTGAGAAGCAGCCTGCCTCTGCAGATTCTCAAAAGTTGGATACAACTTTAAGACCAGCTACTAACTCAGCCCTTGGCCATGCTGTATCCAGTGAGACCAAACCAGAACAAAAACTGATTATTAGGAATCACTGCAACATTGGGAAAGGAGTTGTTTTCAAACTAGTCTGGTACAGAAAGTGACAAAATGGTCAGGCTGTACAGTGGGAGATACCCACACTTGCAAAGACTGTGAGTAATGGTGAAACTACTGTTACCACATAATAGCAGCTGTATTTACATAACAGCTGCAATTTCAAACTTACTCTCAAGCTAAAAAAATGCTGCGTGATAAGTGGCTGAGGCATTTTGTGTCAAAATATATGATGCATTTCTTTCAATGTCTAGGTGTGGCTATTTTGAGGTAGCAAAAGTTATGTGGACAAGTAAGAATTTATTCCTTTTCTGAGAATGCCAGGATGGGAAGTCAATCTCTATTCTTACTCTACAAAGAATTCCTGGAAGTTCTTCCCAATCTTTGCACAAATATGGACAAGGCTGTCATCCTGCTTACCGTGTCTGCTGATAAACCGGATACAGCTTTCCACCACCAGAGGAATTGCCTGGCTGGAGTCCTGAAAAGCCAAAGGGAAACACAACATTAGAATATTCAAACAGGGATAGCCCAGGGTCAGAGAAAACGGGCCAAACCGTGCAGAACTGTCTTAGCGGATCACCAGCCGGTCTACAAAGAAGCACCTGGCCTGTCCTCCAAGTTCCAGAGCACAAAAATACAACCACCCACATGGAATGCTACACAGATGCCTTAAAGTTAGCATGTCCTAAACAAAACTGATCATCTTCTGCCCCAAACCAGTTTCTCACCACCTTCTCCACCACCTAATTAATTAATATTCTGTCATGTCTGCCTTCTAAATATCTCTCAAATCCATTCGCTTCTCTCTATCTCAACTGCCCCCAACCTAGTTCAATCCACCAATACCTCAATTCCCATCCTTGCCATCTTCTGACCCGCATTTCTCTTCCTTCACATAGTAATTAGGTAATCTTAAAAGGGCACATTTCATTATTTAAACTCTTTCAAAGACCTCTCATTACTCTCTTACACGGCCTTGCATGCCAGGAATACTGCCTGTGCCTCCAGTTCCACTGCCTGTTCTTTCCCCTAGCTTCTGCTACAGCTATGCTGGCCACGTTTCTGTTCTGCAAAGTCCTCCTTTGCCTCGTGGCTTTGCATGAGCTGCTCCTGCTGGGGGTATGTTCTCCTCAACCCTGACTGTGACTCCAATGTGTGGATGTGAATATTTGTTGGCACTTGTCACCACTACAGCTCAAACTTCACAAGAGCAGATCCTATGTCAATTCCTGGGTGTCCAGGGTTGGCCATGATGCTCTCACATAAGAGGTGCTCAATTATTCTCAGTTGAAGGTAGCAGAATGAACCAATGGGAGCTTCAGAAAGAGGGTTTGTTTGGTATAAAGGTAAGATAGAAAAGAAAAACTAACTCTAAATAGTGGGGACTAACAGGTACTAAGCAAAGAAGCAGGCCTCCCAGATGTCAATCTTTGCTCTGTTGTTTTGCTTCACAGTCTGGCTCATGTCACTGAACTTTTTTGGGCCTCAATTTGCCTTCTACAGACTGGGGAGGGGACTGGAGGCAAGGAGAGTAATATTTCCTATTAACACATGAACATTAGTGCCTACCATTTATAGAGGAATTTAAAGAGGTGTGAGGCCATGTACTAAGTCCTTTAGATGGACTAGTGCTGGTAACAATCCTATGGAGTACATATTATTATTATTATACTCATTAAAATGAAAAAGTGAGGCCAGGTGCGGTCGCTCACACCTGTAATCCCAGCACTTTGAGAGGCCGAGGCCAGCAGATCACTTGAGATCAAGAGTGTGAGACCAGCCTGGGCAACAGACTCTGTCTCTACTAAAAATAGCCTGGCATGGTGTTGCACACCTGTGGTCCCAGCTACTTGCGAGGCTGAGGTGGGAGGACTGCTTGAGCCCAGAGGACAGAGGTTGCACTGAGCCAAGATCAAGCCACTGCACTCCAGCCTGGGTGATGGAGCGGGACCCTGTCTCAAAAAAGAAAAAGAAAAGAAAAATGAAGAAATGAAGGCTTAGTGAGGTTAAGTAGCTGCTATGGTCACACAGCTGGCAAGTGGCAAAACCAGGATTCAAACCCAGGCAATCTCCCTCGGAGACCTAACACTTTGCCACTACCCATACTGCACCCTAGGCATTCAGCAAACATTGCCAGGTGTGCATACCAAGTATTACTCAAAACTAGTAGGGTTTTATTTTATATATACAATTTCTTTTTCTTTTTTTTTTTTTTTTTTGAGACAGAGTCTCAATCAGTCGCCCAGGCCAGACAGAGTGCAGTGGTGCGATCTCAGGTCACTGCAAGCTCTGCCTCCCAGGTTCATGCCTTTCTCCTGCCTCAGCTTCCCGAGTAGCTGGGAATACAGGCACCTGCCACTATGCCCAGCTAATTTTTTTGTATTTTTAGTAGAGACAGGGTTTCATTGTGTTAGCCAGGACGGTCTCGATCTCCTGACCTCGTGATCCGCCTGTCTCGGCCTCCCAAAGTGCTGCGATTACAGGCGTGAGTCACCACGCCCGGCCTATTTTATATTTTAAATTAATTTATTGTTTTTAGAGACAGGGTTTCCCTCTGTAGCCTAGGCTGGAGTGCAGTGGTGCGATCATAGCTCAATGTAACCTTGAGCAAATAGTCTCAAGTGATCCTCCTGCCTCAGCCTCCTGAGTAGCTGGAACTACAGGTACCCAGACCACACCCAGCACGTTTTTATTTTACATAGAGGGTCTTGCTATGTTGCCCAGGCTGGTCTCAAACTCCTAGCCTCAAGTAATCCTCCTGCCTTAGCCTCCCAAAGCACTGGGATTACAGGTATGAACCATCGTGCCTGGCCTAAACCAGTAGGGTTTTATAATGCAGCTGAATGTACAATAATTCAGCTGTGTGGAAGAAAGAGATCAGGGAGAGGGGACCGAACTTAACTAGAAAGGGCTTTAGATGTTCAGGACAGAGACCAGACTGTCAAGTGCGATGGGTCTGTGTAGCTTCTGCCCGTTTGACAGGTCTGCGTGGATCCCCCCCCTGGCTCTGAATTTGCCACTGTAGCCATAGGGTTTGGCCACTATTAGGCAAGCAGCTGGGTCTCACAAAAAAGTCAGGCTGAGAGAAAAGCTGGCTTAGCCTCTACCTCTCAAGCTTTCTGGGAACCAGGGATGATGCCAAAGGGAGTACTGTATGTGCCAAGTTGGAGCTGGTGTCAGGACGGTCGCAGCGACCCAAATGCTCATCTTCATGACCCCCAAACCCATCTGCTTCCTCCAGCTTTCCAGCTACAGCAGCCAGTGTCTGTCCTCTTGTCGGCATCACTGACTGGCTGGTTAGGCTAGGGTGATCTCAGGGGAAGAATCTTTGTCTTCTCTTCCCTATTCTAAGGAAGAAACTGGGTTCCACTATGAAAATGCCAGAAAAGCTCAATCTGGGGGGAGTCTTTTTATGTTTACAGACTTCTGTTATTACATTTCTCATTTACAAATAATAGCAGCAGAAGAATGAAACTAGATCCTATCTCTCACCATATAGAAAAACAAATCAAAATGGATTAAAGACTTCAATGTAAGACCTGAACTATGAAATGACTAAAAAAAAAACCATTGGGGCAATGCTTCAAGGGTACTGGTCTGGGCAAAGATTTTTTGAGTAAGACCTCAAAAGCATAGGCAACAAAAGCAAAAACAGACAAATGGGATTATCTCAAGCTACAAAGCTTTTGCAGAGCAAAGGAAACGATCAACAGAGTGAAGAGACAACCTAAAGAATGGGAGAAGATATCTGCAAACTATCCACCTGATAAGGGATTAATAACTAGAATATATAAGGAACTCAAACAACTCAATAGCAAAAAACCAAACTATCTGATTAAAAAATGGGCAAATGATTTGAATAGGCATTCTCAAAAGAAGACATACAAATGGCCAACAGGTATGTGAAAAAATGCTCAATGTCACTAATCATAAGAAATGCAAATTTTTAAATAATCTCACCACAATTAAAATGGCAATTATCAAAAAGCCAAAAAATAACAAATGCTGGCAAGGATGCAGAGAAAGGGGAATGCTTGTACACTGCTGGCAGGAATATAAATTAGAACAGCTACCGCAAAAAAACAGTATGGAAGCTCCTCAAGAAACTAAAAGTAGATCTACCATATGATCCAGCAGGCCCACTGCTGGCTATAGATCCAAAAGAAAAGAAATCAGTATATTGAAGTATCAGTGTAACTGCACTCTCAGGTTTATTGCTGCATTATTCACAATAGCTGAGATATGGAAGCAACCTAAGTGTCCATCAATAGATGAATGGGTAAAATGTGGTATATATACACAATGAAATATTATTCAGCCATAAAAAAGAATAAAATTCTGTCACTTGCAGCAATATAGATGGAACTGGAGGACACTGTGTTAAGTAAAATTAGCCAGGCACAGAAAGATAAATACTGCATATTCTCACTTGTATCTATAAGCTAAAAAATTTGATTGCATGAAGGCAGAGAGTAGAATGACGGTTTCTGGAGACTGGGAAGGGTAGCGGGGAGTGAGGGGTCAAGAAGTGAGGTTGGGCCAGGTGAGGTGGCTCACCTGAGGTCAGGAGTTCAAGACTAGCCTGGCCAACATGGTAAAACTTTGTCTCTACTAAAAATACAAAAATTAGCTGGGCATGGCAGCAGATGCCTGTAATCCCAGCTACTCGGGAGGCTGAGGCAGGAGAATTGCTTCAATCCAGGAGGTGGAGGTTGCAGTGAGGCAAGATTGCACCATTGCACCCCAGCCTGGGCGACAAGAGTGAAACTCCATCTCAAAAAAAAAAAAAAAAAGAAGTGAGGTTGGGCAGGGTGCAGTGGCTCACGCCTGTAATCCCAGCACTTTGGGAGGCTGAGGCAGGCAGATCACCTGAGGTCAGGAGTTCGAGACCAGCCTGGCCAACATGGCGAAACTCTGTCTCTACTAAAAATACAAAAATAAGCCAGGCGTTGTGGTGCGCGCCTGTAATCCCAGCTACTTGGGAGGTCGAGGCATGAGAACTGCTTGAATTGAGGAGGCAGAGGTTGCAGTGAGCTGAGATCACACCACTGCAGTCCAGCCTGCGCAACAGAACGAGACCCTGTCTCAAAAAACAAAACAAAACAAAACAAAAAAAAAGTGAGGTTAGTTAATGGGTATAAAAATACAGTTAGATAGAAGAAATAAGTTCTAATGTTTGATAGCACAGTAGGATAATAATAGTTAATAATAATTTATTGGATATTTCAAAACAGATAGAAGATTTGGAATGTTCCCAATACATACACACCAAAAAATGATACATATGTGAGATGACAGATACCCTAATTAACCTGATTTGGTTATTACAAATTGTATGCATGTATCAAAATATTACATGTACCCCATAAGTGTGTACAATTATTGTGTATTAATATAAATTATTAAAAAATAGTAGCAGCAGTGATAATGAAGTTAGTGATATGAGCGTTTGCATAGTTTTGTTGGTCCTAGGTTTATATATTATGACCTAGAGAGAGGAAAGCTGGAAAGCTTACAGGCTACTGGCTTCAACAAATTGTGTGAGTACAAAATTTGGCCTGCAGGAAATGGAATATCAGTGGTAGTTAAAGGCAAGTACAAAGGGTTGGCAGGAAACAGGGCAAGAAAAATATTAACCTGCATGTCCGTGGTTACCAGCAGCACTCACATGCAGCCCCCAATGGATAACCTGTGGCAGGTAAGGGTGGGCTAAAGATGACCTGTCCTACTGCACAGGCATTTTTCTAGTCCCCACTGCTCCAGTGGAGTCTAAGAGTCCAGTAGGAGCACAAAATGGACAAAGTCACAAAGGCTTTGAACGCTCCTGCCATCCTCCTCTCTCCTTATAATGTTTCTGAGCAATGAGTAAATTAATTTCCCTGGGATGTGTCTGTGCACTCCTGTGGTGCCACGAAGACCTGCACTTCACCACTGCCCTTGCATAGAGTTAACTGAGTTTATTTTATTTTATCTTAATTTATTTTGGGACAGAGTCTCTCTCTTGTCACCCAGGCTGGAGTACAATGGCATGATCTCGGCTCACTGGAACCTCCGCTTCCCAGGTTCAAGTGATTCTCCTGCCTCAGACTCATGAGTAGCTGGGATTACAGGTGCCCACTACCATGGCTGGCTAATTTTTCTGTTTTTGGTAGAGACGGGGTTTTACCATGTTGGCCAGGCTGGTCTCGAACTCCTGACCTCAGGTGATCCGCCCATCTGGGCCTCCCAAAGTGCTGGGACTAAAGGCGTGAGCACTGACTGAGCAGTGTCTACATTTTTATGTACTATTCGTCTCTTCCTTTCTCTCTGTCTTCTTCCCTCCTCCAATGTTAGAAATCCTTGTCAGCTTAATTCCTTCATACACTTTTTTATTTTTTGGTAATGAAATCTTAGGGTTAGAAGGGGCCTTTAAGGAATCAGGCCAAATTCTCATCCAATCAGATTAAGGGAACTTTAAACCAAAAGTAGAGGGAGAAAGGTAGGGCCTAAGTTGGAAAACATAGTAAAGCAGTGGTCCAGTAATTTGCAGGAGAAAACAATCAGAAAGGGCCGGGCGTGGTGGCTCACGCCTATAATCCCAGCACTTTGGGAGGCCGAGGCAGGTGGATCACTTGAGCTCAGGAATTCGAGACCAGCCTGCGCAACATGGTGAAACTCAGTCTCTATAAAAAAAAAAAAAAAAAAAAAAAATACATAAATTAGCCAGGCGTGGTGGTGTGCACCTGTAGTCCCAGCTACTCAGGAGGCTATGGTGGGTGCACTGCTTGAGCCTAGGAGGTGGAGGTTACAGGGAGCCAAGATTGTGCCACTGCACTCCAGCCTGGCACAGCCAGACCCTGTCTCAAAAAAGAAAAAAAAAAAATCAGAAAGGTGGCCAGAAAATCTGTGAATATGCATTATCTGGCATAATTTCACATGAGTAAGAGGGTTAGAGTTTTTGTTAGGTACTTATTTGTACTACATTTGTTAATTTTCATTTTTACCAAGGGAGAAAATACAAATCTTGACAACAGATTATATGTGAGTAATGATGAAAAAAGCATCAAAGGTAAGATTTGGGGCCTCAGAGACTGTGAAGAATGGAGTCCCCCCGAACACAAACAGAGAAGTGAAGGGAGGGGCTACGCAAATCAAAATGTGATGGGGGACGGTGAGACTGATGCTGAAGGTAGAAGGTGCTATCACAACTTTCAAGTATGAATGTCTAGTCGATCACTGAGGAATTACTCATTGGACTCAAAAGGACAGCATTATAGAACAAAAGAATGCTTAGGGAAGAAGAGAAAGATTCATCTAAGGGAACAAGAGTGACAAAGGAAAGAATATAGAGAGACATCGTGAGAGGACAGAGCCCTGGAGAAATGCTTCAATTTAGAGGAATGGAGAAAGGCCAACAAAGAAGATATGAAGTCATGGCCAGGAGAGAAATAATGCTGAGGTTACAGGGAGCAGGGAAGGTCTGGAAGCAGCAGTGAGACTGTCTCCTTTTTAAAAAAGGTCTGGGATGGTTTAAACCTAGTCTTTGACAGGGTCAAAAATGACCGGAACCCATTAAAGACCCTCAAAAACAAAAACTACTAGCTTCTTCCTCTTGTTTGCCTGATTTGCCATAAACAAACAATTATTTCCTTGTTACTTATATAAGATTACTCACCTTCCAAGTAACTTACTATCTATTTTATCTTCCTGACCATCTTAGGAAAACTTCTTGCTGATCCACTAGTAGATATGAACTGCTAGAGAGAAACTGGGGCAGCAGAATGAAAACAAGGTCTTTATTGGATTGGGGATTTTGGTATATCTTGTAACTCCTACGCAAATCTAGCACCAGGCAAACACACTTTGCCTGCAACTGCTTATGTGCAGCAGGATGCAAACCAGATGGGTGCTGTTCCCCTCCAACAGTGAGCCCAACCAAGGGCACATATCACCTGCCAAACTGATGTCTCTGGCACTCCTGCAGCCACAGTGGAGCTGCAAACCCCTTGCAAACATGCTCCAGCTATAAGCAAGATGCCTGGTTTCAGCCAAGGAACTGAAAAGAACAAACTTCAAGCTCATTTCTTTTCTTAGTGTTAAAGGGAAAATGGCTTGCTCCCTCTGCAAGATATGCACCTATTAATTTTAAATGCACTAAATTATCTCTAGGAGTCACTCCATTCCTCTCTAGTTTTAAATGAAATTATGGAAGAAAGAGGAGGAAGAAAGAAATAGAGGAAAAAGAGGGAGGAGACTTGCAATTAAATTTTTATAATTTAAAAAATGTGTAATTGCATCTGATGGCATACTCATTAAGACGAGATTCAAAGTAGAGAAGGGGAAAATAGTGACAGCAAAGCTGAGACAAGCGAGGCCTGTATCATCCAAGTTCCCCAGCTTAATGGTCCACCCTGTCAGAGCAGTCAGATGAGCTGAAGAAATGCCGGTGCTGCCGACACCATAAAAACCATGCGCCCTCTTTATTCGATTATCTCCCTGTGGCTAGAGCCACTGAGAATTACCCAAAATGATTTTTTAAAGCCTGGATTAGCTTTCCCCTGAGCAGACACAAAGACATTTCTGAGCTCTCTCCACCCGCCCTCCCTGCTGTCTACTGCATAGCTGGTATGAGCTTAGGGGACATAAAATCATTTCAGTATTTGCCATAAAGTATAATTAGGAAGTCAATTTTGCTACTGCAAAAAATACTTCAATTAATTTTTTTTAAACAAGCACAAGTGCTGTTTAGATTATCCATTGATGTGGATTATCCATGCCACTGCTCTCTAAGAGCCCTCCTAATATGGGTAATGAGAGCTGGCTGCCCAGTGGCAGATTTTAACACAACACTGAAGATCATGCACCAAATTGCAGAGTTGAACGGCCCTTGCCTATCGTTCCTAGACCAGACTTAATCTTCTCATTGTTAGCATGTCTTAGGAGTCCATCTAGAATGACTACGCCACCGGAAACAATCAAACAAAATCTGCCAACTTAAAGCGAGATTGTCTGGTCTAGCTAATTAGGTGCTGTGAGTTACTGATATGTTAGCACAAATGTAGGAAGTGTCAAGCCTCTTTTGTGGTCTTGGAAAAGGATGCCATGGGCAGTTCTGGAACAATCTGCACCAATGAAACCAAACCCCTAGTATGCAAGAGGATAAATGACTAGAAAGGAGAGGGACAAGTCAAAAAGACTATGGCCACTCCAACTAGTTAAATCAATGACATTGCCACCATATTAAACATACTATGACTAAATGATACATTCCAAATGCAGGCATGAAGTCAGAGGTGTCTGTCCTGCACACAGTGGCGCTCAATAAATGCCTGTGGGATGGACTATATTTTCAGGCCAGACCAGCCTGGCCCCGCTTGGGCCCTTACCTGTTTCCTCACAGTTGAGCTGCGCCTGTGACCAATCCCGCCGAATCAGATTGGACCAATCCAGCAACAAGGGAGAAAAAGAGAAAATTGGGACGAATGAGATAAACAATCACTCTTAAACCCAGAAGTAAAGTTTTTAATAATTAAAAAAAATCTGTGTGGTAGCCAATGAAACATGTGACATTACTCAGTTCAGTCCCAGAAATGGCTAAGAAACTTGATAAATTACTTCCACAATAAAGCCTACGAAAGCTCTTTTTTTTCACAAAAGCACAGACGTCCCTGCTTTTAATGTCTACCACTACTCAAAATTAGAATAGGAGAGGACTGGTTCAATTTTTAGTAAAATATTTTTGGGCTAGACAATAAGAAGATTTTTTTGCCTGCTAGGAGACACTGGGAAACACCAAAGGATGCTTTTTGTTTTGTTTCTCTAGGAAATCCTTAAAGATCGCTATCTTTACAGGGAACAATTTTTCTGGGTTTAGAGTGTAGAACATCTAGTTTGGAAACAACCTTGAGAATCCTCTAGGTCAATGTTTTCCAATCTGTGTTTAGCCTCAGAAGCCTCTTCTCAAAGGGAATCTGACTCAGAGGCATAACACCCAAACCAAGGAGGCCAGGGCTGTCCTGCTCTGAGTGAAGGATGGGACCAGAGCCTGGTTGCTGGTCATCGCTCTGCCCCTGCCACCAGGCCACTCCTGAGGAACCCCTTTGGAATCCTACGACACCTTGAATCTAGTGGAGTGCTCTGGTCTTCTATAAGAGGAAACCAGAGTTCAGAGAGGGGAAAAGAGCGGCCTAAGGTCTCACAGCAAAATAACTCAGCACCGGGAAATTCAACTCAGCTCTTTTCAGTCCTACAGAGCCTTCCACAGACTCAGGAGCTCAGGTGAACTTACAGTAAGACTCTAACACCAAAAAGATGTGTTCCAGAGAATCCCATTATCCTGGTTCCCTCCAGTCATCAAGACTGGTATATTAATGGGATCTTTATTGTAATTCACAATGACAAAACAATGAAAGCCAAATGAAGCTATCTCTAAATAATGAACCTATAATTGTAAATGGCCTCATAATTATTATGTGTTTTGGCAGATATAAGTGGTTGATATAATGGGCTAACCCAGGGTCTCTAAGGAGTCCAACCCATTAAAGCCCCTTCTCTAGTTAAATCAGCACATTTCTAGGCATCTGAGAACTGCTGGATGAATGAATACCTTGCTCTCCGACAGCTCACAAATTTTCTCATAGCAGCACCATGACTGAGAGGGAAAATATTTGGCTGGGGTGGAGGAGGAAGGGGAAGGTGGGGAAAGATTGGGAGGGGTGCATACTTGTACATCAGGCAAATATTTCTACCAATACTCTTTGGCGAGCCAATGCAATGTAATATTTCATTATCCAGCAACAGTCACTACTAATTAGGGGCTGCCTTCTTTTCTGGGCATTAAAAAAAAAAAAAAATCAAATGCCATCTCCTGATCTTCTTTCTCTGGGTCAGAGACTCCCCAGAGCCCCTATGTTGAAGTCTAGCAGCTAAGGTTAGGTTACCAGAATCCTCTACAGTTGAATGTTTATGTTACTTGCAATTCAGTGGCGTTAGGGGGTCTCTGGGACAATTTCAGCAAATGATAACCCCTTTTACTCAGTTCTGCTTAGCTCCTTCTCAAAGTCCCAGAAAACCCCATTTCTATCTGAGATCAGATGGGGTCAGTAAGGCAAAGGGAAGTAAACAAACCCCGCCCCAGGCCATTGCTTTGTAAAGTCATTCAATGCCTTTACAACTCAACTCCTTGGCTCTCTCCCAGAGTAAGATTGCTCTACCCACCAAGCCTCTATCACTTCCCAGGCCTGTCCCAGGCCACACTCACCTGGCTAGACTGCAATCTGTCCGCTGACCTGTTGGAAACACAAAGGCAAAAAGCATTATGTTAAAGGAGAAGAGGTGAAGGAGGGAGACCCACTCCTAGTAACTACCATGCCTATCTCCCCTAGACAGCCACAGTATAACAGTGTGTGGCAAAAGAGAGGAGAGAGAGAGAGAGACAGAGAGAGACAGAGACAGAGAGAAAGAAAAGAAAGCACCAAGACCCTCTTTCTGGGCAAAAACTGTTTCTGATGCTGATTCCCAGTCCAGGTCAGTCCCCCTAAACCTTAGGGCCAATTCTGCTTCCCAATGGGAACATAGAGATGGAGGTAGTGGAACAATAGCAGCACAGATCATACTTAATAGAATAAATTATTAGAAGCCCTCCCAGAGATGAAATTCAGCTTCTCTTATGTTGGATGTGTGTGTGGTGGGGTGGAAGGCCAAGTTTACTTGCTCCTGAGTATACACACACACACACACACACACACACACACACACACACACACACACACAGAGAGAGTTGGAGGCTGAGAGAACAAGAGGAGTTGTTTGCGGGAGAGAACAGAGAAGATATGGATATTCTAGCTTTAGATTCATAGTAAATTCTCCTGTTAGGTTTGACTGAGGTGGCAAGGGAGATGGGAGATACAATGTTGATACTGCTAGCAAATCATGGTTCTCAATCTAACAGTGGGCCTTAGGAGTTTAATGGGTCATTGCTAGCTTTTAAAAAAATGAAACTGAAAATCTTCAAGTTCATGAGAAGTATTCTCATGTTTTAAAAAAATATATATGCATGTCTACATGGGAAATGATGTAATATATATTGCTTTCTTTAGGACCACAGTTAATGAAGCTCAATCTGTTTTAGATCTGCATTATTTAAACCAGGGGCAAACCCTAGCAGGTGCTGAGCTGGGGGAAGTAAAAATCAGCTCCCACACTCCTCCCTATCCAAGCTCTTGCAAAGGCAACTCCAAGGGCTGGCGGAGGGAGGGCAGGGCATTTTCTTGCCTTTAAAGGTTGGTAATTGTTGCTTACAGTTCAGCTCATCTTGAGCAACGCCATCCCCTACCCCTAACTGTCTCTCGTTACCAAAGGCTCAGCTCTTATGTGCAAAAATATTATTCTGAGCCATTATTTTCTACATCTGTTCCATTTCCATTCTGGAATATTCATACACATCAATTATCCCTCTACGGCAAGAACAAGGGGCTCCTGCATCATGGTGACAAAAACATTCAGAAGGCAGGGACGTGATGACTTGCACACAGAAAGATTTATAGCTTTTTTTTTTCTTTATTGCTAGAACTTGTCATCTTTAGATTAAGACAATTTGCAGCACTAATGATCAGCCTTCATCCCTCCATAGTAGCACATTTGGTGCATAAATGTGTGAGTAAACCCATTCACTCACACACACAAATGTGAGCGCATATGAATGCATTTGTATGGCCCCAAGGCCCTGCTCTCTGTCTTACTTATGGACTATGCTTAGACTGTCTTGATTCTCCATGGAGTGATGTGATAACCCAAGAGTAAAGATTTTCTATAAGCAAAGTTTGGCCCTCAATGCCCAAACTTGTTTAGTCTGAGTCCTTTCGGTGGTGAGGAAGAAGAATAGAAATTATCTAACCAGCTTTCTTCACATAAAAGAAAATGTCTTAAAAGCCATAAGATTGTGCTGGGCCCGGTGGCTCACACCTGTAATCCCAGCACTTTGGGAGGCCGAGGCCGGCAGATCACCTGAGGTCAGGAGTTTGAGACCAGCCTGGCCCAGATGGTGAAACCTCGTCCCTACTAAGAATACAAAAAAATTAGCCAGGCATGGTGGTGGGCACCTGTAATCCCAGCTATTCAGGAGGCTGAGGTGGTAGAATTGCTTTAACCTGGGAGGTGGAGTTTGCAATAAGCCAAGATCACACCACTGCACTCCAGCCTGGGTGACAGAGCAAGACTCCATCTCAAAAAAAAAAAAAAAAAAAAAGTCATAAGATCAGCCAGGCATGGTGGCTCACGCTTGTAATCCCAGCACTTTGGGAAGCTGAGGTGGGTGGATCACCTGAGGTCAGGAGATTGAGACCAGCCTGGCCAACATGGCAAAACCCCATCTCAACTGAAAATACAAAACTTACCCAGGCGTGGTGGCACGTGCCTGTAATCCCAGTTACTGGGGAGGCTGAGGTGGGAGAATCCCTTTAATCTAGGAGGTGGAGTTGGCAGTGAGCCGAGATGGCACCACTCCACTCCAGCCTGGGTGACATAGCAAGACTCCATCTCAAAAAAAAAAAAAAAAAAGAAGTCATTAGATAAAAGATTAGAGAAAAAAATTAATCATCTGGGAAATCATCCAAGGCAGGAAAAGGACAGGGCAAAAAAGGTGGGTAGGAGGTTCTGGTATAATAAGAAGTGAGGCTCCAATTCCTGGGGCCAATGAGCCAAGGAGTATTGCACACTTTCCTAAACTTTGCAGTTTGTCTAAAGAGTGCTCAAGAATTTATTTTAAAATGTCAGATCTCTGTGTAAGTACAGGCTTGCCTGTAACTGATGTTAGCACATATTCCCTGCAGCTTCTCCCTTCCACTCCCTCCTATCTTTAAGTGAGGAGATTAGATTAGTGGGGCAGGGAGGGGGGGGCGGCATTCAGAGGCATCCCCAACCTGGGAATCCCATTAATCATAGGATGCTGAGAGTTGGGCAGGAAATCTGGGCAGGGTGCCAAAAAACCCTGGGGAAGCTTCTCTTTCAACCTCCACCTTCTGTTTGACAGTTGAGGAGAGAAAGTCCAGAGTGCCGGTCCAGTTCTCTGCCTTGCTACTTTCCAGGGTCTGGTTAAAATCATTCTATGAGACAAGACAGTCCATTCAGCACCAAGGCCTCAGCATAGCCACACGAGAGAGGGCTGCCACTTAAACAGCATTAGGAGCTTTCAAAGCAGAAGGAAACTGATGCTCTTTCTGGAAGCTATAGAAAGCAGCAGTCTGTCCATCCCTCCTGCATTTGAGGATTCTCTCCTCTCAGAGCAGCTGCGTATCTCATCTCACAGCTCCCTACCTTCTTGCTCCAGTCTCAGTGCTGCCTCAGAGGAGCTAGGAGTTTTAACAAAGTGTCTGGAGAATAAATAACCCCTCAGCCTCTCTACCCTAGTCGTGGCAGAGGAGGCGAGGGTGGAGGGACTGGGTGGAGAGCAGGCACGCTCCATTTAAACAACTAGATGATACACGTTAGTGCTTCATTAAGCATTGGCCTTTCCCCATTACTCAAGCAGTCATTTGGGGTGTGTGCTTCCACATCCAACAAGCCAAGAAAAGAAAGGCATTCATACAACAAGATCGGGTCCACTTGGCTGAGGATGGAGGCGTGTGCTCAGCAAGAAAGCTCCAGCTGGCCTCACTGTCAAGCCTCTAGCAGAGGGTTCCCACACTCACTTTCTCCCAGGGTTTTCTGCAGAAGGTCATGCTTGGCTTGTAACTTGGTGATGAGGTTCCTGCCCTCCAGGTACTCTTTCATTTTCTGTAAGAGAGGAGGAGGAAAAAGAGCAATCAGACTCCTGAAGAAGAAGAAAAAAATCACAGATGCTCAGCTGGACAATTCCCCTATATAGAGGTCATTTGGTTTCTGACCCAATTTCCACCAGTCAATTTTTTAATTTCTTTAAGGCACTGATCATATGGGCAGCTGTTGATTTTCATGGTGGATTAATATCCTTCTCCAGGTTTTTTCTGGGAGTTCTATGATGGCCAGTATAAAGAAATTGTTTCCTAGAGCCCCTCTCCTGCAGTTTCACTGAGGAAGAGCAGGGAGGGTAGATGAACTTATTGAGCCCTGGTCTTCTTGGTGTGAGGACACACACCTGCTATCTGTCACCTCCACTGACATCCCACCCTGCCCTGGCCCCTCGGTGGGAGGAGGGGGGGACATTCCATCACACCAGGAGCAGTGCCAATGGCAGGCTCAGTCCCTGCCTCAGCTGCAAGCCCAGGATGTGGAGCATCTTTGAGCCATATCCTCAACAGCTTCCTTCTCTATTCTGCATGGAGTCTTTATGGAAAGCTTCGGATTTCTGAGCACTCAGCGGAAGGGGCTGACATCCCCGACTTGCATACACACATCCAGGTCTAAATACAAGATGAAGTTTTGGAAATGTGATCCCACCTGCTCTCACAGTCAAAATATGATTGCTGTGCTGCACTTTCAGATTTGTTCTCTCTCAACCCTCGTCTGCCCAGTGAGAGACCGTATGTCCCCAGACAATTCACTGAATCTTCAAAACAACCCTAGGAACTATCATCATCATCATCATTTCCATTTTACACATGAGAGCACTGAGGTTTCGAGAGTTTAATTAAGTTGCTCAAGGTCAAACAGTTAGTGAGTGGTAAAGTTAGTATCCAAATACAGGCAGTTTGACAATACAGCATGTGCTCTTAACCATTACGACAAAATGCCCCATCCATCATGGTACAGAGCAGGAGAAGGAGAGAAGCAGAACTAAATTTTGTAGTATTAATGCTTTATGCATGCAGCAACATAGCAGGTTTTAGAGCACTTCACCGCATATTCTCTCATTCGACTCTAACAATAAATAACTGTATGGCACATAGGGAAGATATTATTTCCTTATTACAGATAAGATTATCTCAGGGGAGGGGAGGTATCAAATAAATTGCTGATCATTGCAAGCTAGCAAGTGGTAGTGTCAGGCCCAATCTAAGGCCTTTGGACTTTTAACACAGTATCTTTTCCGCTCTCCTCCACAGCCTTTCTTGGGGGTCTTAGTTTGCCTTGATCACCTCCTGCTGCAGTGGTTCATCCTCCAGATCAGGGGCTATCTGCCTAAGTCTGAACTCAGAAGTCAAATGGCCAGGTTTCCCAAAGTGTGATCCGTGAATTACTGGTGATATATGAGATCACTGAGGTAGATAGGTGGATGCACCATTTTAAATGGTAATAGTTCTGTCTGTCTTTTAATGTATATTAAGTAAAACATATAATTATACATCAAACCTTTGATTTCATGGATTGCCACTTAGGATTAAGAGTGATAGAAAGAGAAGGTGAACAGAGCCAGGTGCAGTGGCTCAGGCCTATAATCCCAGCACTTTTGGAGGCTGAGACAGATGGATCACTTGAGGACAGGAGTTTGAGACCAGCCTGGCCAACATGGTGAAACCCCATCTCTAACAAAAAAATACAAAAATTAGCCGGGCATGGTGGTGGTGAGTGCCTGTAATCCCAGCTACTCGAGAGGCTGAGGCGGGAGAATTGCTTGAACCTGGGAGGCGGAGCTTGCAGCGAGCCAAGATTGCACCACTGCACTCCAGCCTGAGCGACAGAGCAAGACTCTGTCTCAAAAAAAAAAAAAAAAGAAAGAAAAAGAAAAGAAAAGTGAACAAATGTGAGTTACTTTTACTCTATACTTTTCTGTACAGTGTGAACTTTTAACTAAGAGCTTGCATCTGATTCTCTCTCTTGTTTAAAAACAAAAGAAAAATCTGCTTTCTCTGGGATGCAGTCCCTAGCCCTCCCATGTTCACCCAGATGGTCCTGTGTGTACCATGCAAATCTCCATGACAGCACTTCTCATACAGCCCTGTCACAGAGGGTTTATTACTCATGTGTCTTTTTCTTCAGACTGCCTCCTCTCTATGGTCAGAGACCATGTCATTCATTATCCTTTGCATCCCTGATACTACCACGCCTAGCAGATAGCAGATACTCAATAAATGCATGATGAATAAATGAATGAGCAGTCTCACTCTCCTCTGGGTAGACCCTTCCTCAGCAGTTACAAACCAAGCCCCTAGTGTGCCCGTACTCTCTAAATTAAAAATAAAACAAGCCAAAACCAAATCTTACACCAAATCATTTCTACTGCCTTATTCATGATCTGTTCCCTCTGTCCTTTTATGCTTTTGCACAAGAACTTCTGCAAGGAAAGAGGCTCTGTTATCACCTTCCCTTTTCCATCTGCTCCAGATGCCAGCTCACCTGCTGTCATTCTTCCCGGGGTAATATCCAAATCCCCAACCAATGCCTAATTGTGGGTTTGGAACAGTACTTTAGGGCCCAGAGGTGGAAAGCCTTCAGGAAATATCCATTGCCAACAATGCAAGCCTCAAAAGCCTCTCTCTTTGGAAGGTTATCCCAGGAGACTCTAAAGGTTTCCTAATGAGGAAAATTCACCAAGAAGCTGTAACCTTCAAAACAAGACCAGACTGCTCAGAAAACAGCCACAGTTCTCAAAGGAGATGGATACAAATTCCTTCCTCTCACTACTTGTGATTCCAGAAATCATTTTTTAAATTCATGTTCACAATTCATTAGTTAACTCTGGCTATCACTTGATGAACCATTAAAATAAATAACAATCTGGTAAAGATGTATGATGGATTACCTCTTCGGGTTTCATTAAATCCTGAAGGATCATAACTGTGTCAAGGTATGAACTGTATCCCTAATACTGGCGTGGAAACCACAGTTGGGAGTTTTCCATCCAGGTAAGCCAGGTATGGAAAGGTAAAGGCATCTCAGAGTCTGCAGGCACGTTATTTTATTTATCACTCCCCTATCCCACCCACAAGTCAGCACTTATCCATATGAGAGACTCGTTGGGGATAAGTGACCTTGTCTTTAATTGGTGGAAGTGAGTTAGAAGGTTTCTGTTGCTGTTGGACAGACAACACAGAGAAAGGAGCTGAGACCGCTGAAGAATGCAAGGGAAGAATAGGTGGCTTTTAATGACTTCTGGAGATCACGGGGGCCAGGAAAAGGGCTGCTTATAATCTCCAATCTCAAAATCCCTTCCTTGGGCAATGAGGATCACTCTCCTTACTTAGGGCATGTTCCAATATTAGGTAGTTCTTTTTCCTTCCTTCACCAAACACCCAAAATCAAAGTGGCTACCTGGGGTTTTCCTCAATGAAGGAGCAAAAGAACAGGTAATATTTTATTCTAGGTATTCACCAAAATAAAATCAAGTTCCTAAAACACAGTCTGACCAGTGCCCACCCCCAACAACTTTCACACTTAAAATAATCAAAACTGAGAATTTCTTCAAAAAGTAGGAAGGGAGGCAAAGAGTCTATTGGGCATTTTGTTTAGTGCCATTGTGAAACTTCAATTCAGTTTTTATGATCTCATTAATTGATTTCCTAATAATTCCTAATTGGATATTAACTGTCAGCAGTGAGTTTTGTTTATTGAAAAGTATTAACATAATAACTTTTCTTTCTGCACATTCCCTCCTTGATAGACGTTTTAGTTGCATTAAAATGAAAAAGCATGAGTTGGAATATTCTAGTCCTACCACTTACTAACTCTCCTAACCTTGGGCAAATCATTTAACCCCCTGAGTCTTAGTTTTTCCATCCGAAAAATGAGAATACTATTTTTTTCACAAAGTTGGTGAGAATGAAATTGGATAATAAGCATTACTGTTAATAGCACAGGGCCTGGCATAGAGCAGGCACTCAGAAAGGTGTTCCTTTATACCTGAATCACCTCCTCAGTGAACCTAAAAGCATCCCTTCCCTAAGCATCTTTGCTTTGTGCTAAAATAAAAGCAGAATGAAAGCAGAAGGTTTTGGGCCTTAAAAAAGTAGTAAGAGGCACTAGAATGCTTTTCAAATTTCATTTTTAAAAACCTCTTCCCTTTAAATACACTCTTACCATGGGGGTATAAAACTCACTGGATGTTGCTTATGCCTTGGATTTAATCTGCGTGAACCCAAGACCCTAAGTATCCACTGCAGCAAGGCAGGAGGAGTGAGTACACCTACCCAGCCCATGCTCAGAGATACACAGATGTCACTATAGTGGCTGTTTCCCCACCATGCAGGCATGCTGACATTTCCCCTCCTCCCCGTCAATTTTTAAAATAGGAAACAGCTGTCAGATAGAATACATAATAGAGTAAACTTTAAATGGAGCATGTCTCCCCAGTTTAATTGACAGCACAGGGGCATTCACTCATTTGTACTCACTAGCACACGTTTACCAAGGGCCTGCAAGAGAATACCAAGATAAAAAGATCTCAGACCACAAGTTCCAAGTCTAGTGTCACTCAGTGCCCCAGTGGCCAAGGCATTGCCTCCTCTCCTATTACCTTCCCCAAACCTGTCCCTAAGAATTCAGACTGTTTAGCTTTGTTACTTTATCGGCCATGATCCTTAACCCCTTCACTGTTCTATCCCCCATAAAAGAACCTAATTCTCCAACTCCCTATAAAAGGAAATACTTAGGCTGGGCATGGTGGCTCACGCCTGTAATCCCAGCACTTTGGGAGGCCAAGGTGGGCGGATCACGAGGTCAGGAGTTTGAGACCAGCCTGGCCAACATAGTGAAACCCCGTCTCTACTAAAAATACAAAAAATTAGCCAGGCGTGGTGGCGTGTGCCTGCAATCCCAGCTACTTGGGAGGCTGAGGCAGGAGAACTGCTTGAACCTGAGAGGTGGAGGTTGCAGTGAGCCCAGATTGCACCATTGCACTCCAGCCTGGGCAACAAGAGCCGAGGCTTGGTTTCCAAAAAACAAAGGAAATACTTAGGAAAATGCCAGCCTTATAAAGCTTTGGTAAACCTTGGCTAAACAGCGAGCATCACTGCCTATGAGGAGGGAATTTGTTAAACAAATGATGGCACATTCATACAGTGGAATTCTATCCAGCCATTTAAAAAGGACGCAGATCTTTTGGGACTAACATAAAAATAAGATCCAAGATAAAGAACGTTAAAAAAGTGAAGAACTGTATAAGTGGAATACTTCTATATCTACTTCCATTTTCTTTCATTACATTTCTAATGTAATTTATCATATTAAAGGGTATTTACAGATACGTCAGTTGTTGTCCATGCATAGAGTATCTCTGGAAGGACACAGAAGAAACTGGTTTCAATCACCAGCAGAGGGGAGGGGAAATAGGAGTCAGGAATGAAAAGAAACTTTATAGTACGTTTTCCTGTATACCCTTTTCAAATCTTTGCATCTTTTAAAAGTATTGATTTTTAACAATCACAATAAAAAAGGCAACGGGTAAAAAGTAGACATTGATGAACTATGTGTTATAAAAGATAAGCGATAAACACAAAGCCAAGAAGATCAGGAAACATGTCACCACTGAGGGCAAATAAGAGGCAAAAATTGCTGAGCTGTTCCTGAGCCCTTCCCTTCACCTCTGCTTCTTCCACAGGGTGTAGAGAAGCAGCCTGTGGCCAGAGACCCTGTAACCAGAGTGGTGGGTCCAGCTTTTGTGAGCTACCCATCCTCTCTGGATTTACTGATTGATTGATTGATCGATTGAGATGGAGTTTCACTCTTGTTGCCCCAGGCTGGAGTGCAATGGCACGATCTCGGCTCACTGCAACCTCCGCTTCCCGGGTTCAAGTGATTCTCCTGCCTCAGCCTCCTGAGTAGCTGGGATTACAGGCATGCGCCACCACGCCCAGCTAATTTTTTTGTGTTTTTAGTAGAGACGAGGTTTCTCCATGTTGATCAGGCTGGTCTCAAACTCCCGACCTCAGGTGATCCGCCTGCCTCGGCCTCCCAAAGTGCTGGGATTACAGGCGTGAGCCACCACGCCCAGCAGATTTATTTATTTTTTAATCTTTCTTTTTTTTTTTTAGGCAGAGTCTTACTCTGTCACCCAGGCTGGAGTGCAGTGACACGATCTTGGCTCACTACAACCTATGCCTCCCCGGTTCAAGTAATCCTCCCACCTTAGCCTCCTGAGTAGCTGGGATTACAGGCGCCTGCCACCACACCCAGCTAATTTTTGTGTTTTTAGTAGAGACAGGGTTTCACCATGTTGTCCAGGCTGGTCTTGAACTCCTGGCCTCAAGAGACCCACCCGCTTCAGGCTCCCACAGCGCTGGGATTACAGGCATGAGCCGCCATATCTGGCCTATTTATTTTTTAATTTTTCAAATGAGAAGGTTGGGTTAGGTAATTTTTAAAAATCGCTTCAAGTTTCTTAACTCCACAATTATTTTCCTGAGACTCTTGCAAGCAACTGATCTTTATAGGTCATGCCTCAAATTCCCAATTGATGTCATCTGGGCAAATCAGTCCAATGACAGCCACAAGTGGTCAGAAAGCTTTCTTAGCAGCCCTCTTGGTCACTAGGCACACTACCTAGGAGTCAAGCTGTGACAAGAGGCTGCTTCTTAAACTTACAAAAGATAGGATCTTCCAGGATGTGCTGCTCTGATGTTTTTGAAGGGCATAGAGAAACACACGGGCAATGTTTGCAGAGGCAACAGACTAAAGAAAGCACATCTATAGTTGTATTGGCTTTGTGTGGGTTGTATGGTAAACAGGTAGTCACCCTGCTTAATGTGGGTATCCCATTTTCCATAAATGTCTATTTCACCACCCCAAAAAGCCCTCTTATCATGAAATTAATCATCTGATGCACTTCAAGTACCAGTCACAAAAATGATGAACTCAGGCAGAATTCCACTGCTAGACAAGCCCAGACAAAAACTGTTACTGTTAGCCAAGGAAATTTGCACACAATTTTGATAAGTGGCACTAGAGCCACATAAGACAGGAAATGGGTTAGAGGACATCAATGTATTGAGACAGAAAGTGAAAGGGTGGGCAGGATTTGCGAGGTTACCAGTTTGAATATGGCCATTCCTGCTTTTACTAAAGGTCAATTTAGAAAACAAATGTTACAGAATTCATTTAGAGCCAAAAAGTAATTCTGACAAAGACTGTCTTAAAATGCAAGATTTTTAGGTCCAAAATTTCTTACGTAACCTAAAAAATGGAAATCTTCACAATGTAATGAGATTGGGTCATTTAAATAGTGTTATATCTAAGCAGTCCAGACAGACCAGCTAAACAATCCTATTATTAAAAGCCTCTAGAGAGTGTTCAACAAACTCCTTAGATAATGAAGCTTGGGGCAGCAACACATCCCTCATTATAGTCAGAAAGTTCTCTTAACATGTGAGCCAGGTTATTGCGTGCATTTATGTTTTCCCACATGCTGCTCTTTCCTCAAGGAATGCGATTCTCCTCCCCGACTCCCTGCCTGGTTCGCTCATTCTTCAAGATCAAACACAAAAGTCACTGTGTGTGTGATGCTTCTCCAATTCCACTCATCCTGGCTGCCATTCATGCACTAGTGCATGTATGCATTTTTACATTTTTTAAATTACAAAAATCAACCTATTATAACTGCTTAGATATATATGAAGTAAAAATGAAAGTTCTCCCTTTACATGACCCATCCCCCATCATTTCCCTCTTTATCTTATACTGTCAGCATTCCCAGCTTGTAGCACAGTGTCTGGCAATAGTAAATCCTCAAAAAATGATCAATGAATAATTTAATAATGATTAATAAATAAATTAATGATGATGGTGAAGATAAATTTTTAGCATTTATTGAACGCTAACTACAAACCAGGGAGTGTGTTAAATATTTTACAAAAATCAATGAATGAGCTAAAATGCCATTCTATTATTTTTTTGTATAGGTTTTAATATTTTACTCATAAATATGCTTAAAGAATATTATAATTATATGACTTAGATTGTAAAACAATATGTACAGCAGTATCCTATTTTTTAGAATAAAATTATAAATATGTGCTCACATATGTGTTTGTGCATGCATAGAAAACAGATTAGAAAGGAATATATTCTAACACCATTATCTCTAGCTGGTAGAATTATGGAAAATTTTTATTTCCTTCTTTTTCCTTCTAAATTTTATATAATGAGCATATTTGGCTTTGTATAATCATTTTTAAAAAGTTGTTTTAGAAGAATAGTACTGATATATCATTCCCTTTTAGCAGTTTTCTCTAGGATAAAAAATAAGAGGAAGTCTGAGCTTAACTAATTAAAAAAACAGATTTCTTTAAAAAATATTAGCAAATCATTAGTGTTCTTACTGGAGAAAGGGCAGTGTTCAAAGAAGAATTAAACAAATCATTCCAGTTGCAGGAAAAATTCAATTTACTGCATGCAGACTGTTTCTTGACTGAAAAGTTAATTCCTTTCATTCAGAATCAGTATGCATATTCACTGGCTATATTTCATCTCACATCTGCAAACTTAATTTTTCCTTTCTTGGTCATCAGAAGATTAGGAAATAAATTTTAGTCCAGGCAATAGATCCTACTTGGCAAGCTCAAAATAACTCAATTATTAAAAAGCAGCACACAAAGACCAGTAGTGACTTCCAAAGGATTGTTAACAATACTTAAAAAAAAAAAAAAAAAGAAAAAGAAAAAAGGGTCCAACTGTCTAAAAGAAGACTAGAGATACATGAATAAGAAAATACGATGTTTTGGAATTATGTGCAAAATAGTAATGCTGCATATTACCCATCCTTTAAGTTTTAGCAATAATTAGAAAAAATAGTTTCCCAACAATAAAAGTTATAAAATAATGTCATCATATCACCTAGAAGAGATTATAGATTTTTATAAACAAAATATGTGTTATTATGAATATTTGTATGTACTCTCCAAGAACTAAAAGATGAAGTTCCCCTTTCAGGATCCCCTGTGCCTGAGAAGGAAACTTTCCAGTGAAAGCCTACTAGCTAGTTAAAAATTTCTTAAAAAAGAAAATCTTCTTAGTTGTATACTTGGGAGCATCCTTTCTCTTGGGCGGATCCCTGTTAGACATATACAACTTTTAATGTTTGCACCTTTAAGTGTAGGGATGGTCTCTGAGTATGCCCACATTCGTATCTAAGATATTCAACGCCTGTCCTTCAGACACTTAACAAGGACTCTGAGTTCCAAATCTCCCTTGAGTGCTGCAGTGCATGCTGACGCTCTTTAAAAGCCATAGCACTCCCTTACTGTGAAATAAAACTGCTCTGTCTCTTGCTGGTTGGCTCTCCTCTTAGCAATGCTGGGCTTGCTCATGAAGGTTTCAGAGACCGTGGACTTGACGGACTCCATGGAGTTGCTGTACTGGAAGCAGTCAGACACATCAAAGTCCTCGACAGTCACAATGTCCTGGATGGTTTGCAGGGTGGCCTCCATTGTCTTCTTTACCTGCCACGACAAGGGCCAACAGGATGCATGAAGGGTGGGTTGTTAAACAGCAGGTGATGGAGAAGCTTGAAGAGAGTGGGCTGGGGAAGGCCACAGGATGCCATCAGAGTGTGCAGCTCTGCTTCCCACTGGACAGTGCTAAGTGGGAGGTAAACATCACATGGACTCTGCTACAGCATGCTACTCTCTACAGTGAAAACCTAAAAGCCACTACAACCCTTCATGCTATGTACTTGACCCAGATCTTTTAATGTTTACTTTTAAAATTTAATATTAGCATTATTATAATATTATATAACAACATTATAATAGAAGTTTTAAGGGAAAGAGAATAAAATAAATCTAAACCAACCCCCTCATACAAACAGCTAATTAAAATGTGTGATGGGCCTAGTACTGCAAAGCCCCAGGTTCTGTTTCATGACCTTCAACAAACTGATGAACTTGTTTGCTCATTTGCAAACTAAGTGACCTATCCCTACTTCTTCCTGATCTTCCTGCAGAAAGTAAGACTTACTGAGACACAAGGTAAGAAGCCATCTGAGCTCAACAGAAAGCTGGATCACCCGCCCTTTTGAACCGCTTTTTGAAAGCAAATACACTGAGCCCAGAAGAAACTCACCCTTTCCTAAGAGGATGGAGATGTTTGAAGTGTCAAAGTCAAAGGCCTCTGTTTGTTTGAACATGCTGGAAAAAGCTAGGCATGAGGAGGTGGTTTCAGAGACACAATATTGTTCACACAGCTGCCAAGTGCCATTTTGATTAAATGTGTAGAGGGGAAAAAAAGCATTTCGCAAAAGCTCAAAATAGAGCACAACCTTTGGCAATGCAAGAGCAACTTCCTGGAGTTCAAGGGCAGGATGTAGCAGAGGGGGAAAGTCCAAGCCTACATTTGGCTAGGAAATGTTTGCGGCCGCCCGGACATTCTCTGCATGCTCCTTCCACCTGCTCCCAGACGGGCAGCAGCAAAAGTTTCAACAGGGAAACTAAGAGTGTGGCTTTGAGCCTCCTAAGGAAGAAACTCACCTCTTCGTTTTCAATCTTTAGAGTGGATAAGCGAGACTGCAGTTGTTGGCATCTCTGTACCAGCTCACTCTGGACAGGCTGCTGGGCACAGAGCTGGGAAGCCTAACAAAAGAAAGCAACACCAGGTCAGAAAGAGGATACAGTCCCTTTGGCAGTTCCAGAGTTCCCATTACTGGCAATGAAACTACCCATATTCAAGGTATAAGGCTCGTGGTTTCTATGTTGAAGCAAAACCCAAAGCCAACTTGTGTGAGCCTCTTCCAGGACCAAACAGTACATGAAAGGAATGGGTAGGGGGATCTGTTTGGAGCCCGGCAGGGGTAGGTCTATGTAGGGTCTGCAGCTCCATGGAAGGCTGAGGAGGCTGGAGAAGAGTGCCTCAGGCAGCTCCGGCTCCAGAAACACAATGCTTTGGCACAGTGAAGATTTCCTGCCAAAGGTCCAAGTGGCCACCTCTCTGGCCCCTCCCTCATCCCCCTTCATACACCAGAGTGAAAGCAGGAGAGAAGTGGGTCAGGAGGCTAACTTGCCACTGCTGGCAGCCAGCATGTGTTTACAAATCCAGGCCATGCATGAGAGCTTTGATTCAATGAGAAAGCGTGAAGCCAGGAACAAGTTCGTTGCCTATGCTAGAGGGCCCGAGGGGGTATGGAATCTGAAGGAGCTTGGCATTTTCCAAAGAGCCATCATTTTACCCCAGGCCTTCCCTAGATCTGTAAGAGAGGAGTCTGACCTTCCCGCAAGGATTATTGCCAATTAGCTTTCCCCTGTGTGAAGGAATGGCTGTTCCACTGTCTCCCATTGGAGATGTGGTTATGGGATGAGGTCATCCACAGTCCCCTGGATGACAGATGAGGAGCAGAAGGCTGAGAGAGTTGGGAGGCAGGACCCATGTGGAGACAGCTCCTGTCACCTTGTTACCGTTCGTCCTTTAGCCTCTTGTCTGCAGAGAGACATCTGGATAGAAATGGTCTCCTTCCTCCTCAGCAAAGAGTGGGCACATTCACATGCCCACGGACCATTCCCTTGCTTGAAAAGAAAAAACCTTTCTTCAAATGGAGGGGGCTGGGACTTGACCTTTTCCTCCATTGGCTTTTAAGCTCCCAACTGACTTGACCTCTTCCCCCAGCTGAGAGGCTGGCCTGAGCCAACTCTCAGATCCACAGAGAGCTGACTTCACTCTAACTCTTGGATAAGCAGACACAATGGAGAAAGCTCAGTGGCCAGAACCGGTTAGCGCCAAGAGTGAAATTCTCTGGCTGCCTGATGTCACCAGTCAGGCATCCAGAGTCCCACAGCCTCTGAGGGCACCAAAAATGGAGCCAAGCACCTCCTCCTAGTACATCTGAGAGCACTTGGCATCAATTCATGTGCTGTGCACCCCAGAACACCAGTTAGTGTGGGACCCTGGCCAATTTTAAGGCTTCCGGTCAAAATGCTACCCAATCTTTGGCCCTAGTTCAACGACTTCCAGGCAGCTCCCTCCTGTTGCCTCCACAATCTGCAGACAACCCACACTGATGGGGATAGACTGGCTGCAGAGGCCAAGAATGACCCACCCTCTCATCTCTTTTTATTTTCACTCATATGAAGGCTAGGCTAGAATGCGGAACCTTCACAAGCTCCAGGACTGGTCCTGGCCCCTGCCTGGCTCAGCCACTGATCAGCTATATTACATAAAGGGAGGGCCCTGGCAGAAGAGTGAGCTATTGATTTTTAAAGTAACCCAGACCTAGCAGAGAGGAATCATGGAGGGAAAAACCACCTCCAAGCCTGTTCCTTTAAGAAGTAGCAGAGCTGATGATGATGCATGCTTTGGCAGTGGTCCGCTACCAGGGTGCAAGGTAATACACTTCAGCTGCACTCTGGAGTATGGAAATAAGGCTCTGACAGGGGGAGGAGGGGGCTTGAGCACCCAGCATCTGGATTCCTCCTTTATGGAGACAAGCTGTTTGGCTCAGAAGGCAACTCAGTCACTAACACCAGAAAATGTATCACTCCACTCAGCTGGTCCCCAAGTTCCACTGATCCCTGGGAAGGAACCTCAGTGACAGCTGGAGAAGGTGCTTGGAAGGCAAGTTTGACCAGAAGCCAGGGCAGGTGAGGAATGGGGCTTCCTGAGGCTTGGTGACACCCCTTCCCCCAATTCTAATTGCACATGCTGCCATCTCACTTCTCCATCTGTTCAGACACTGACATTTCCTAAGCCACAGCAATGGAAATGAACTGTAAATGGTTTGATTTTCCCCAGGAAGGAAAGGAAGGAAACCAACTCCACATTTCTATCTCCAGGACAGCGTCTCACTCTCCATAGAGGCCAACTGATGACAGCAAATCCTCTGGTTCCACTGCCACAGCTGTCATTCTGGAGTGGGGATTTCTAGAGTCTGGATGCTAATCTTAAGGGAAGCATCATTCCTGAGGAGCACACATGTTGCTGTTTTTTGGTCCCCGGCGTCCACTCCTCCTTTTTTTGGTAGCTTTGGTCTAACTGCCCTCGGCGAGGGGAACCTCCCACTCCACAACTCAGGCCACGTGCTTTGCATGGACCCAGGCATAAGCACTTTACCCAATCAAAACCAATGAGACACACAAACTTTATGGGGGCTTTGAGGAGGGAGGCAGAGACTCTTTCCACTAGATTTCAACCTACCAGGGAAGGCTGGAAATGCAGTCACCTTGCCTCCATGGGAGAATGGCCTGTCTGAGAATGGAGTTAACACACAGGAAGTAGTACAGAGACAGCAAAACAGTATCTTGGTAAAATTCCTCCTCCTAAAGCCAACTATACCCAAAGGTCCATCTTGATCTTTTCTATTGCATAAGCCCTATACAACCTCCTTCTAATTTCACCAGTAGGAGAAATGGTGGCTCTTATCCACAGGAATGAGGTTCACTCTGACTTGTACACACAACCACACAAGTGGAACCAAAAGATTCAGAACAATGAAAACCGAGGAGCTTCTCCTGCCTCTCACTTTAGCTTTTTTAGGCCCTTTTTATTCTAGTCACTGGAGGCTAAGAGTCCAAAACAAGGCCCCCATGTTCATGCTCCCCTGTCTGGGCAACCAGCATCAGGCCTTTGGGATAGCATCTTAGCTCCTTTCCTTCCTGCAGGTACCCATTCTTTTTTATTCAATACCCAAACTATACACTTCATCACAGTCTTCTAATTTCAGGAGAATAAGATTATTCAGAACTCTGCCAAATGCCAAAAGATCACAGCATTCCCTGCCTAGCCCTCGCTTCCCCACTAAAGCCTCTAGGATGTGGCCCCACCTCAGCTCTCATTTCTTCTAGCCTCACCACTGGGAGCGCCCCCCTCCCTCACTTTCCTTTCACCATCCTGAACTGTTGGTAGTTTTTAGAATATACCTGCTGTTTTTCACCTTCTTTGATCCTGCTGGGCCCCTTTGGATACCCCTCTCTATGCATAGTTTGAACCCTCCTCAAGCCTTAGCGACCTTATTCCCCAGACTGTAAGCTCCCTGAGGGCTTTAATCCCCCATGTCTGCACCCAAGCCCGAGTGTCTGACAGCAGGCACTCACTAACTGTTTGCTCAATAAGTGGAATGTGCCTCACCCACCTGACAAAAAGCCGGGCCCAGGCCTCTCCCACCCCAGAATAATGTGCCTTCTGTGTAATTAATCTAGACAAGTCCACTCAAGCCCCTTGAGGGTGGGGGTATAGGGAAAGGGCCTCACCATATCCCCCATGTGGGGCTGAAACTCAAACTTCATAGGGGGGCAGAAGACGTTGTTGTACATCTCCATGAGGCGCTGCTTGTCACTGGTGGCATCCAGGTTTTCTACTGCATTCTCGATGGCATCCAGACCCTCATGCTTCGACTGTTCCAGGTTTAACTCAGCAGAGAGGAAGGTGCGTAGAGCCCGGTTCAGACTTGCATGGTAGCCTAAGTCACAACACTGCTGTGGGAAGGAGAAGGCACATGAGCACACCATGGACAGCCCCAAGGCTTGGCAGAAAAGGAAGGTGGTCCAGAGGGCAGATCTGACCACATCAATAGGCTTGGCTGTGCAGTAGAAAGAGGGCTGACATTCCGACTTCCAAGGTCTGGGTGAGAGTTCTCAGTTCTTGACTCCCAATTCAACAGTTAAACACACCCTAGAGGGCTGTGAGGCGGTTAGGAGGAAGAAGATTCATAAGGATAAAATGACATTATTTAATTAAGCGCTACTTCATAAACATGAGAAGAATTGAGAGTTAAAGAGAATCCTCTTTCATTTTCAGGTTTATCTGGGGTTGTCATTATAACAAAATTCAACAATAAAAATACAACCTGCCACTCACTGAGGGTTACTGTGGTTAAATCACTATATAGCAACCAAGCCAGGCCATTTCAGGGTTCTGAAAGCAGGAGTATTGCAACAGCAGCTAATGTATGCAAGCTCAACTCTAGATGGGAGAAGGAGAGAATGGGGAGCTGACTCTGTGGGTCATCATCCCCACCAATGCCCAACATCCTAGGACAGGCCTTAGCTGCAGACTAGGGTTTCTGACATGCCTCCTCCTTCCTGGCATCTGACAACAGATGCCCCTGCACTACAGAAATAGCATTTATAAGACTAAAAAGCTCTACGCAAAAGTGTTACTGGAAAAATTCATGCCATGTAAAGGATTCTGATTTTTTACAACAAAATGCAAAAAGAGGCAACTGTATAAAAAAAGCACTGGCGCAGAATCAAGCAACCTTGGAAAAGCCACTCCCCTTCTCTGGACCTGTTTCTTCCATAGTAAAATGAACAGATTTGGCCAGGCTAGTGGCTTTCAAGCAGTAGACCAGAGCTGGCACTGAAGCTGCCCTTGAGAAGTGAGTAAAAGGACAACCCAACTACTAGGACTTGGAGTCTTCTATTCCTCCTTCAACCAAGCCAACCCTGCTCTTTTTTCTATTTAATATTTAGGGATTCTATGTAAGGTTTGGTTTGAAGAAAGAATTCTTCTGTTAGAGAAAAGTCTGAAAATCCTTGGACTAAATGTAATCCCTAAGGCCCTCTTCAGCAATGGCATTCTGTAACTCTGTGATAATATTCCCCATCCCTCCCAAAAGACCCAGAGATCCCAATTCCTTGGCCATCCATCATCTTCTCTATTGCTTAAGCAGCTCTGAGGTCCGGGTCCTGAGAAGAAACCTCAAAGAAGAATCTATGCATAGAGTAAGGCCATCTGCCTGATTGCCATTTCATTGCACAAGCAAGCATCAAATTAACTCTCCCCACAGCCTTTTCCTCTCATCATGATCACATTGGAAGCAGCTACTATTGGGGAAGAAAAGGCATATGATGTGCCTCCTCTTTCCTGGCATCTGACAAGAAGCTCAGTGAGAACATCAGTTGGGTTGGGCTCTGGGTTCAGTGCCAACAGGCCCTGGCAGCTGCCTGGCTGCAGTGGAATAACAGCAGTTACAACTTAACTAGAGGCAGAGGATGGAAAGACATTAAATTCAGTTGGGAGGGAAGAGCAAATGGAAGCTAGACAAAAGCGGCTCATTAGGACTCTGCACGGGCATGGGCTCTCTGGGAGATGCTGCTGGTCTCACCAGGCTGCCCTTGAACCTGTAAACCTTCCTGACTAGCTCTATGTAGACCCTGTTGATGAGCTCTATGCCTATAAGTCTAATGAACAGAAGTAACACGGCCCACAGAGTGTATGAGTGTGGGTGGAGGGGGTGTGGGCAGGGGGTAGAATCTGGGAGAGAAAAGTTACCCTTCAAAAAACTTTTACCTGTTTTTGGTAATTTCCCTTTCCTCTCCATTCTTACTACCTCTACCCCTATTCATACCCTCACCGTCTGCTTCACTGTCCTAAACTGTGACTTTAATTATGGCACTTTCCTGTTGAAGAACCTAAAATACCTCTCATTTTTTTTCCCCAAGGTAAAATCCACCTTCCTCAGTTTTGAAATTTAAAAAATGCTTCTATTTCACTAAGTATGCTTACTATACGTCAGTCCATGTGCTAAGTGCTTTATATACATTCTACATTTTAATCCTCATAATAACCCCAATGAGGTTGGTATAATCTTAATTTTCCAGGCTTGAAAGCTGAGGTTCAGTGAAGTTAAATAATTTGAGCAAGGTTCAATAGCCAGAACAAACTGTAATCTGTCTTCAATCTACCCATCCAACATCAACTCCCTTTATTTTCTTCTTCAGATTCATCTGCTCTAATCCAATGAAATACTCTCTGTTTAGGGTAGAGTATTAGTCTTCAAATCAGCTATATGGCCATAAGCAAGCTACTTAATCCTTCTGGGCCTCAAATGAGGATAACACCAGCCACACAGTTTGTTGTAGGCTAACAGGCAATATATTTACAGATATTTGGTACCATGTAGACACTTTAAAAAAATACTAATATAGCTCCAAATCCACTGACCTCTGCCCTTCAGCTCCCAGAATGTCCTTTTCCTTAAATGTTTCCTATGCCTCTCACCTGTTGGAATTGGACCAGATCTTCAAGATCCAGATTAAATTCTTAGCCTCTGGGAAGCCAGCCAACCCTGCAATCCTAGACTCCAGTGACCCTGGCCTCTACTTAGAAACACACTAATCTACAGCTTTCATATGACAAGGAATACGCTTCTTCATTCTATGACTTGCCATGTCATATCACCCCAACCAGACTAGCTTCTCACTCTTCTTTACATCCCTCAGCATTAGGCCTTGCTCACAGCAGGCATTTAATAAATTTCAGTTGACTGATTGATACCACAAATACAGATTCCAGCCTCTCAGGAAATAAAACATTTAGGCTGAATACTGACCTAAGTCAAGTGGGTAGATGGGGCCAGTGAAGCCATTTGTTTTGCTTACTCTATGGCCAAAGGGAGGCTGGGAGTTTTCCCAGGCTGGCACACTGCCTCTGTTTATATAACTATTCTGTAGCTTCTTTGTGCCAATGAGTGAGGGTCTGAGTCACAATGTGCCCCTGGCTCCTCTACACCTCTAGCCAACCAGGCAGATTCGGAAGAGGTTCTCCAGAGTCTTGACTATCTATATACCTGTAGGGGAAACAGCCAGAAACCGAGCCTTCAGCGAAGAAGCAATATCTGGCAAGGTTAGGTAAATGAGATTTGAATATTTCATCCTGTTCCAAGAAGAATCCCAGTAAGTACAGGAAGCACATTATTTTGCTCACAGTGGGGACAAAGCAGGCTTTCCATGGCTTCTGATGAGTTCTGTGGCCACGCTGGACTCCCCTGGCCATTTCTGGGTTATATAAATGTTTGATGAAAAATCTCTCAGGGGAAATCAAATTTTTGTAAGAAGTTAATGACAGCCCATCCAGATGTATGATGACTTGAGTTGATAGCTCATTAACCCTTTCCCAGCTGATATCTTCACCCAGAGACTCCACAAGGCCTGGAAAGGAAAAATGGGTGTTTCACAACACCCACTTCAAGTTCACACAAAAGAGAAAAATAACTGCCCTTAATGACATTTCTTACTGAAACAGCCAAGTTCCCTCATGTCCGACTTGGGTGCACATGGTGTCACAGACCTTCCATACATGTACACGGCACTTACAACACTCCAGCTATGCATGAGGACAATGCCCTGTTCTTCATTCATCCATCTGCTCCTGGGTTGAGAGAGCCAGAAGAGTATGGGGGAGGAAAATTACATTCCAGTGAGCCTACGTTCTTAGATGCCATCAAATGAGCTCAGAACGTCTTTTTGGCCTGAAGTCAAGGTTTCCCCAGTGTGGCAGATGCCTCACGTGGATTCCTACAGTCTGAAGTTTAAATCTTGCACTATACTATAAAAAGAAGTCGGAGGCTAGTCCTTGGTCAATGTAATGGCATCAACAAAAATAACTTCTTTTCACTTATCCTCAATGCCTTATGCACACATTTGGCTTCAGAACCACTAAGAAGGAGGCAGAAGGCTGTACATGACACAGATGGCAATGGACTGCAACAGGATTCATCCCATGTCTTAAAGCAAGTAATGAATAATGTTAAGATCAGGATGCCAATATCCCAGGCTCCTCACTTAGTCCTGCTCTAACTGCATCCTTTTGGCCCTTTTTATCTCATAGGTCAGCAAGAAAAAGAAAGACACTACCGATACATGCAAACAACATGGATGAAATTCAAAAACATCATGCTGACAAAAGATGCCAGACACAAAAAAGGATAATCCCATCTTTGTGAAGTTCTACAATGGGCAAAACTAATTTATGGTGAAAGAAATCATAACAGTGGTTGCCTTGGGGTGGGGGATTGGCTGGGAAGAGACAAGAGAAACTTTCTGAGGCAATGGAAAGATATCTCTTATCAAAATATTTATTCTATATCTTGACATAGGTTACAAAGATGTACAAATTTGTCAAAACTCTTGAAACTGTAACACTTAAGTTTAGTTACTGTATGTAAATTATACTTCAAAACCATATTGAAAGGTACAAAAAGAAAAACCGATCTTAGCTTAGATGATCATCTTCCTCCTCTTTCTATTCCTTTCTTCCTTCAGTAAACACACTATGTGCTCAGCTATATATTAAGCACTGGAGGCTACTAAGGTAAAGAAAACTCTTGGTTCCTGCTCTCACAGAACTTAACAGATGAGACTGAGATCTTCCTCTGTTCATAGTACAATGGCTCACAAACACTTTTTTGACTCCCAACTCACAATAAGAAACACATCTTCTATTGTCACACACTCCCCCATAGGATGTACAAGTGTGTACATACATATCTAACATAAAAGTTTCACATAATCTTACCAATGTGATGTACTCTAATATTTTCTTTCTTATTCTAGTCTCATCTAGTCATCTGAAAACACAGGTTAAACCAATAAAAGTGATTTCCTGGCTTTCTTAAGGGATCTGACCAATGGTTTGAAAAATGTTGTCTTACAGCCTATGACTACCTCTAGGGTGAGAACTACTATAATCCATTTTTACCCCAATACTGAGCACGTGGCTTCTCCCTAAATAAATATTTACTGAACATTTATAGAGCAGAATAATACAACTTTAAAAAAAATAATGAATGTGTCCATATCCCAGGAAAAACAACAAAAACCCAACCAACCAACAAACTAAAACAAGACACAACCAAAACAGCAGCAAAGAAACGAGGCTGAGGCAGGCGGATCACGAGGTCAGGAGATCGAGACCATCCTGGCTAACACAGTGAAAACCTGTCTCTACTAAAAAAATACAAAAAATTAGCTGGGCGTGGTGGCGGGTGCCTGTAGTCCCAGCTACTCGGGAGGCTGAGGCAGGAGAATGGCGTGAACCTGGGAGGCGGAGCTTGCAGTGAGCCGAGATCGCACCACCGTACTCCAGCCTGGGCGACAGAGAGAGACTCCTTCTCAAAAAAAAAAAAAAAGAAACATGAGAAACTTTATTACTACCTATGTAGCCTTTTGATCCCAGTGATCTAGACCCACACCCTGCCAAGTACTAAGGCAGCCTCTTTTTCAATGGCATGTCACACCACATCCTGTGAAATTAGGCTCTTAGCAGACGTTTTTTTTTTTTTAAATGATGAAAATAAGGTACAAAATACCTCACTTCTTGGACTGATTTTAAAACACTTGGTTATACCTGATGGAGAATCTATGGATTGCAAAGGTTGTGGCTGATACAGCAGTAACCCCTCCCTTCCCCTGAGATCAGTATTTCGGTGAAAAAGGTAGGGAAGTTGCCTTGAGTACAAAAAAAGAGAAGAGGGCTAACCAATAGCAGTGGTGTGGCAGACAGCACAGTCTGAATTTTTACCAAATGCGAGATAAATAGCAGAAATTGTGCATAAGAAAGAATGGATTCTCTTCCTTATGCTGAGAACAGGCCTCTCTCCCAACAATGAGGAGCTCTTCCCCTGAGGAGGAGAAAGGATCTTGTTTAGGGCTCTGACCTCCATTGAAGGACAGTGTTCAGATTGTCATCAATAAGCAGAGAGAACAAAGAGGTACCAGAACAGGGAGCAAGGCTCTACTAACCCAGTGAGACAATGACACCTAGGGCATTAAGTGGCTGAAATCTACTGAATCAAAAATCCTCGGCTAAAGGGAGACAGGAATCTGTATTTTAGAGAAGTTCCCCAAGCAACTCTTACGTGAGGCCAGATTTTAATACCAGGGAATTAGTCCAGTTCTTCAGTTAGCTAGAGGAGCTTGGGAGTGGGTGAGAAACAAAGCTGGGTTTCAGAACAATTCAGTGACAAGCCTAGATGACCCAGGTGGTGATATAACAGCAAGACTCGGACCCAAATCCCATATGATGTTGTGAGGTGTGGCAGGTTTGCTTGTGGAGAAACCAAGGCAGGAAAGCAAGAGTGGTCGGGCCAGAGTTTTGCAAAGCCCAACTGCTGCCAACAAGACCCTGAAACAAATGGCAGGCCTCCGAGATGAGATACACTTGAAGCCCCAGAGACTGGGATGCTAAATTGGCTGGCTCCAGATGCCTCACTTTGATGACTGGAAGGAGAGGTGAGAAAGGGTGTAATTACATAGCTTCACTTAGGTGTGGCTCAGGACCTGGGCCAGATTGGAGTCTGTAGGTGAGAGGGCTTGTAAGACCCAACTGTAAGGGGAAGCAGCAGGAAAAACAAGGCCAAGAATAACTCACAGGCAAAAAACAAAAAGCTTATCCCTGCGCTTGCCCCTTGCAAAACACATGTGCCTATTAGCCGCTTTCCTCAATCCCCTTTGCATCACATATTTTAAAAAATGGGCCAGATGTCAGGGGGAGCTGGATACCTTCCTGACAGGACCCTAATTTGCAGCATAACCTTGGACAAGTGAGTCTCGTAGTCCTCTGGACCTTGAGCTTCCTTATCTAGCAACTGGAGACAGCAATGCTTACCCATAATGGTGATGTGAGAGTCAAATGAGTTAACACTGAGAAACCTTAAATGCTATACAAATATAAGGGATGGCATTGTAACTCTTTAGTTAAGTTCTTGCCACTCACTTCTGTGCAAGAGAAGCTGATGTAATAAAGTATTTCCTAGGTCGGGTGCAGGGCCCACACCTGTAATCCTAGCACTTTGGGAAGTCGAGGCAGGTGGATCACCTGAGGTCAGGTCACCTGAGGTGAGGAGTTCCAGATCAGCTTCACTAACATGGTGAAACCCCATCTCTACTAAAAATACAAAAATTAGCTGGGCATGGTGATGCATGCCTGTAGTCCCAGTTACTGGGGAGGCTGAGGTAGGACAATTGCTTGAACCTGGGAGATGGAGGTTGCAGTGAGCCAAGATTGCACCACTGCACTCCAGCCTGGGGGACAGAGCAAGACTCTATCTCAAAAAAAAAAAAAAAAAAAAAAAAAAGGAAGAAAGTATTTCCTGGCAGATAGACGAGTGTAGTGGTTATGAGCCTGGGTTGAGTCATCAGGCCTAGGTGCAAATTTTGCCTCTGTCATTTGTTAACTGACTCTGACTAAGTCATCTAAACTCTCTGTTAATCTGTAAAAATATAGATAATAATGCCTTCCTCCCAGAATTCCAGTTAGGATTGAATAAGTGTGAAGTGTTTCACTTGGTGCTTGGCAAGCACCCTGATGGATCATGGCTGCTATCTTCCTAATTGTTCTCAAAATGCACCAGATTCCTGAACAATAGTATCGGGGAATGTCTGACGAGTATTCTGAAACCAGAAAAGAGGTGCCCTCAGGCCCTTGGCTTTAAGCACTTACATCAATAAGGTCAGATAGGTCATGGATGTAGTACTTGAAGACAGATGCATTGGTTGCCTCCAAAGCCAGCAAGTACTCATTCCGGGCTTTGATGGCCTTCAGCTTATTCTCCGTGTACTTGGCTTGACGCTGAAAAGGAAACAGAAGTTCACTTTTACCTTTTTTTTTTTAAGGGGGGCTTGTTCTCTAAAAGATAAAAGTACAGTGTATTCAAGAACTACAATTGTGTTGCTACTCCCTATGCGCATCTGCCTTAAATTGGGTTCTAATTCTGTTTAATGAGATTCAAGGGCACAATGTAGATCAATTCAGGAAAGGTTAATGAGGCTCCCTACTTAAGATGCGTGCCCCACTTTGATTCTATCTTCAAATATCATTCTTCATTCTTGCAATGCCACTCTGAAGGAGGTACCACTACTCTTGCCCCTGAACACCTGATACCTGAAACCAAATCCTGGGTTTACAGTCACCCCCAACCCCTCCAAAGCAATAGGATATTGAGCTCTATTTGGAAAATGGATTGGGAAAGGTGACTGCTGTTTCTTGGTTTTCTGCTAGAGGCTAGAAACTTGGATCCCACGTGCCCAGTTCTTCCAATACCTAGTATTCCTGCCAGGGCACAGAGCAAGGCCTCATTTTCAGTCATTAGGCACTAAAAGAACCCAGAGCTTCCTCGTCTGCTCTTCCCAGTGACTACTGGGAAATTCCTATCAGCCATGCCTTACCGAATGTTGCTTCCCAGCATCTACAGCTGTGGGAGCCTACATACCTTCTCCTTCATCTTCTCAATCTTCTTCACTGAGCTCCTCCGGACATGTTTCTCCTCAATGCGAACGTTGGCCGTGGAGTCAGGGGAGCGTGGGGTCTGCCGGTCCTCCTGCTTTACCGATTTACCAATTTGCTTCTCCTCCTGCTTCTCCGCCTCCTTTAGTTTGCTCTGAGCACTGATGCTGTCGGCATTGTACATGTGATATGTCTTCATCACCTGCAAGACATCGCCCACCCCCACCCCCAGAGGTCAAGCCAAGGGGGTCATTTCTCTGCTTTACAGACTAACAGACTCAGCTGGAGCTCTCCCCCATGAAGCAATATCCTCACACCCCTAAGGGAAAAATCCAGAAGTGTTTGGTTCAGCAAACACAGATTAAAGACCACTCCAAAGCACAGGAAAGCAATATGTGAACTGAGCCAACATTTCCTCTTATTGAAATAACTTAATGTCTATCCATCATGTATTATTTATTTCTATTCATTATCATTTGTAATCATTTCTCTTTAATATTGGCCAGGTGATTTCTATCACTTAGTCACCTCATAATACTGAGTAGATGGGAAACAACACCACCACTCTCAGGCCCCAAGGGCAAAGCCTTTCTGGGCTGGTCAGGAACCCCGAAGAGGGCAGTGCAGCCTATGGAGTAGCCTATGCTTTCTGTTACCTTTCAGATATAAAATAGGGAAGAGGAAAAGCTTCCAAAAGCTCCTTTTACCGGCCTGGCATTCTGGGGATCTGTCTGTTCTGCTTTATCCAGATCAAACACCCTCTCACAGCAACTGCAATGCCAGTTATCATTTACTGAGCACTTAGTATATTCCTGGCTTTATGCCAAGTACCACACAACACATTTTCTCATTTCATCCTTAGGACAATTCCACAATCTAGACAACAACCCTATGAAGACTGTAAGCCTTCAAAACAATTCAGGTAAGAGTCTGGGAAGGAATAAAATCCATATCAAGTATAACTGGAATTGCCACAGGAGGGAAGTAGTATAAAAGGTGAAGGATGATTTTCCATCAAAGCAACCATCTAGGAGTCCAATCCTTTCTCTTAACAGGGAGGCCAGGAAGCCTAGAACTCAAGCTTGTTTCCAATCCTACTAAACATACTACTTCCAGCCACCTAGTGCCTGCTCTACTCTGTGGGAACTTTCTGTTTCCACACAGGGAGTTCACGAGTGCTGAAAGTGTGATGCCATAAGATTTCTTTGAGATGGAGAATTAGAGAGTAGAAGTTGGGTGTGTGTGTGCATGTGTGTGTGTGTGTGTGTGTGTGTGCATGTGTGTGTGTAACACAGGAGTGCAAAGGTACAATATTATTATTAATATCTACCACTTAATAAACATTGTGTACCATGGGCTTTACGTACATTACCTCATTTAATTCTTACAATAACTCTGTGAAAGACACTGTTATTATTTCTATTTCTAAAGATAAGGAAATAAGGCTCAGAGAGATTAACTATCATACCCAAGGTCATACAATGAGTAAATGGTGGAATCAGGATTCAAACCCAGGTCTGTCAGACTCCAAAGACCACATTCTTAGCCATTAAGCAACACCGACTCTCCTCTGGATAGGACTGGAGCTGAACTGGTTGGGAGGAAAGGTTAAATATGGTCAAGATATTCCTGAAAAGAGAAACTGGTTCCATGTATGAACCTGAGTTAGAGAAGTGTCTCAACCTGGGGCTATTTTGGCCCCCAGGGGAAATGTGGCAGTGTCTGGAAATATTTTTGATTGTCACAACTTGGGGATTGCTACTGGCATCTAGTAGTTAGAGGTCAGGGATGCTGCTGAACATCCCATGCACAGGACAGCCCCCACAACAACTAATTATCTGGCCCAAATGTCAATGGTGCTGACGCTGAGAAAATCTAGCTTAGAAAGACTTTGTGGGTATACTAATCTAGCCCCTACGATCAGCTAGAGGCAGATGAAAGAATAAAGAATACTGGGACACTGACAAAATCAAAGTACATTAGAGTCTAAATTATGTCTCATTTTGAATGCAGAATGTTTTAAATCAGTTTCACCTCATTCTGAACCTAACACTACTTCCCGTAAATTTTACCAGGATAATACTCTTCATATTTTCTATACAGAAGAAAAAATACTTAACAACTAATGGCGTTTAAAAGCCTTTCTAAGTAATTCAAACAGACCCCCAGCTTTCCAGGTTAACTAAGAAGTGGAAAAGAGGCATCTGTTATCTCAGCTGAAGAAGTGTAGATAGGAGGCTCCTCTTTTTTTTCTCTTTTTTCACCTGAATCTGACCATGGGATTCAAAAGCTTAGTGAGAAGTTACAAAAGTGAGTGCTTTTTTTCTTTTTTAAAGTGATTTCCTATTTCATGAAGGTGCATGATAAAGAGAAAACGTTATGAATAAACATGAGATAAAAAAGGGGTCAAAGAATAGCGCTACCAAGTCAACAAATGAAGTAACAAAAATCAACAATTTACAATGTTACTTTCCCCTAAAAAACTTAAAGAACTTTCTTGTTAAAAGAGAGTAAAACGCTACTTTGCCTAAGAAACTATACATTCTTCACGCTAAGCTCTACTTCTTTTGTGTTTTCTTCTCACAGTGGAGAAATATGTCATATACACAATGGTAGTTTTACAAAGTGGTTGCCCAAATGACTGAATGACACTGAATCTCTCTTCTGGGTAAATACTGGAGAAGCTTTATTAGTGCCTTCCAGCTCAAGAGAAAACTGAGGTACCTAGAAGCTGAAGCTTAAATAAGTGATGCCAAAACAATTGAAAAAATAGGAAAGTCAAGACAGGACTTAGAAATGTATATAGATACAGATATACATGTTAAATATATATTTATAAATATATATTTATAGTCAAGATAGGACTTAGAGAAAGCCAAGATAGGACTTAGATATATATATCTATGTACATATACATATGTAAATGTATGTATATCTATATATCTATGTCTTAGACATATAGCTACACATATATGTATATATAGATATGTATACATAAAGATATACATATACATACTTCTATCTATATATAGATAGGCAAATGCAAACTATGGGGAAAAACTGAAAAGTCTAAATTCTCAGTTCTGCAAAGAACATTCCACTTTACTTTGAAAAACTAAACACTGAAGTCACATATTTAGCTCTGCTCCCTCTGACAGCCACACTAAAATAATAGGAAAAAAAAGGTTCTAAAATGATTATCATTTAGGTATAAATTGAGAAAAACAAAAAGAATGGAAGCTGAAGCCGAAAAGCAGGTAGGCAAACAGTAACTCATCTACTTGAGTCCTAAACCAAAACTAGAGTGAGCCAGGAAGCAGCCAGATTTATATCACAGAAGCCCGAAGAGAAATAAGTAGCAGTGGGATGAAGGTAGAGCTAAACACAAAATAAGCTATTGAAAGTCTGAGAACAGGCCGGGCATGGCGGCTCATGCCTGTAATCCCAGCACTTTGGGAGGCCCAGGCGGGCGGATCACGAGGTCAGGAGATTGAGACCATCCTGGCTAACACGATGAAACCCCGCCTCTACTAAAAATACAAAAATAAATTAACTGGGCGTGGTGGCGGGTGCCTGTAGTCCCAGCTACTCGGGAGGCTGAGGCAGGAGAATGGCATGAACCTGGGAGGTGGAGCTTGCAGTGAGCCGAGATCACGCCACTGCACTCCAGCCTGGGCAACAGAGCAAGACTCCATCTCAAAAAAAAAAAAAAAAAAAAAAAAAAAGGAAGTCTGAGAACAGTGAGGCCCCAAGATCCCCCTCCCATTGTAGTGGAAGACTAGATGAGAGGTTTATTCTGTTAGAGAGGGTCCATGGACTAGGGGATACAAGGTTCAGCTGAGGATAGGGGTATACTGAACTTCAACAGGAGGATTAGCTGAAGTCTATGTTAAATTTTGAGATGGTCTAGGCCTCTTCACAACTCAGCTCCCAGACATGAGTGGGAGATCAAAAGTGTGATCTCTCGGCAATCTGACCATCCAAGATAAGAGACCTAGAAATACTAAAGTTGGGGCTTCCACAAGGACACAGCCCAGTTAGAACACCCTACTGTGAAGGCCACAGCTGACATAGAATCTTTTAGTGCCTCACTTTAAAATGTGAATAGGCAGCTAAGAATGACCAGGCATTTAAAGGAAATGTCTAATATGAAAGACCAAGACCAAAACTAGCAATTTAGAAGAAATATTATACAACAAGAAGAAAAGTTTGAAAACAATATATCCATAATAGCCCTGGAGAGATAAATGAGAAATAAAACGATACTGCATCATGAAACAAAAGTTGGATGCAACAAAAAAGGGAACATGTAGAGAACAAGAAAAGAGTTCTTGGCAATAAAGATTCAATTCAAGTATCTCTTCAAGGAGCCTGACTTCATCCCTGTCCTCTGTGCAGACATGTAAATGAGTTCTTGTCACTTCATTTTTCACTTGATGCTTTACTTTTCTGTCTCTCCCTATTAAAACTAAACGCCTTGAGGTCAGAAACATCTCTTATTTGTTCTTGTCTCCCTAGTGCCTAGTGCCAGAGTCAAATAGGCAAGCAGAGTTGAGAGACTATTAAGTGCCATTGTTTCAAGGGAACAGGTGCTAAATACCAGTCTGAAGTAGCTCTGCCAGCACACAGCCGCTGCTCCAAGCCAAGGGGATGTAAATTTAGGGGGAGTACAGAAGCATAAGGCCTCTGGAATAACAACAGCCCCAAAGTGTCCCAAAGCCTCTTTTTTCTCAATTCTAGAGCTTCCTTGACTCTTCATACTCAGCCAATCCACACTGGCTTCAGTGCCTCCATGTACACTCCTTCCTGTGGGGGTTTGCTGGGTTTTTCCAGACACGACCTCTGAGTACAACTGAGGCAAAGAATCCCAGAGTTCTTTGGGAAGCAGTGTGTTCTGACTTCAAAGGCATTCCCGGTGCATCAGTCAGAAAATGAAAACCACTTATGCCATGGCTTACATACAAGCCAGCTCATTATGGGGGGAAAACACGTGGAGAAGAATGCTCGCTAGGATTGCTCTCTGAATAGCAGCTGTGGGAAGCAGGCCCCAGCACAGAATGCCAAGTCAGGGAAATCAAAGGCCCTTCAGGCAGAAAAGAGGAAGGTGCAGAGGGGCAGCTGGCCACTCATGGCGGCATTCTGGGCCCGGTGCCCAAAGGCATCTTTATTTGGGAACACCTGGGTCCTGCTCCTTGGATCATCAAGGTTCAAAGGTACTAAAATTACCAACCCTTGGATAACTAGTCCCCTAAAAAAAGGTATTCATGGGCATTAGGAGCAGATGTGAAGGACATGAAAAAACTGGGTGGGTTTCTTATATCCTTGGTTTCCTTTTTCCAGTGACCCCAAATAACTTCTATTGCCTACAACGTCATTGAAATGAGAGGCCCTTCCCTGCCTTCCTGACAAGCAAATAATGGGAAAGCTCCTTCTAAGAAACTCTCCCTTGTTCTCTTCTTGACTCCTCAAAGGTGTGCATACAGCAAGCAGCTTCCCAAAGCTAGCATGTAACAGTCCCAGCTTCCCACCTGATAAAACCACTCTCCCATGCAAGGTGACCAATTAACCCTTTTTAACCTAGAACTTTTCCAGTTTCATCACTGACAATTTCATGTCCCAGGAAACTCTTCAGTACTAGGCAAAGAGGGACAGTTAGTCACCGTAATCCCATGGTGCCTTATTCAGACCAGTCCTAAACCTATCTTAATCTCCAGAAGAAATAATTCTATTCTCTGAACTGCTATTTTTTTTTTTTTTTTTTTTTTGAGACAGAGTCTTGCTCTGTCCCCCAGGCTGGAGTGCAGTGGCACGATCTTGGCTCACTGCTAGCTCTGCCTCCTGGGTTCATGCCATTCTCCTGCCTCAGCCTCCTGAGTAGCTGGGACTATAGGCGCCCACCACCATGCCTGGCTAGTTTTTAATACATTTTTAGTAGAGATGGGTTTTCACCGTGTTAGCCAGGATGGTCTCGATCTCCTGACCTCATGATCCGCCCACCTCAGCCTCCCAAAGTGCTGGGATTACGGGCATGAGCCACTGTGCCCGGCTATTCTCTGAACTTTCTCTTTTTTTCCTTTTTCTTTTTTTTTTTTTTGAGACAGTCTCGCTCTGTTGCCCAGGCTGGAGTGCAGTGGCACGATCTCGGCTCACTGCAAGCTCTGCCTCCCAGGTTCACGCCATTCTCCTGCCTCAGCCTCCCCAGTAGCTGGGACTACAGGCACCCGCCACCATGCCCAGCTAATTTTTTTTGTATTTTTAGTAGAGACAGGGTTTCACCGTGTTAGCCAGGATGGTCTCGATCTCCTGACCTCGTGATCTGCCTGCCTCAGCCTCCCAAAGTGCTGGGATTACAGGCATGAGCCTGGCTCACTGAACTTTCTAATGGCCTACAGACTCTGGAAACCTATTTGATCCTTAGCTATAGCCTAATATTTCAGGAAGTATAACTCACCCAACTACTCCACCCCCTAGGATATAGAAATACCAGTGCATGGAGTGTATGCAGACACCAAGGTCATAGAGGTTTGGGGTATCCCTCAAGCTCATACAGCTAGTAGTCAAGACAGGGTAGAATCTAGGCTGCTTAATTCAGGAGACTCTAGTCACTAGACCAGCATTTCTCAATCTTGTGGGTCAGAAGATTGTCAATGTCTCTGTATTGACATTGTGGGTCAGATAATTCTTTGTTGTGGGAGCTGCCCTGTGCACTGTAGGATTTTAGCAGCACCCCTGGCCTCTAGATCATTAGATGTCAGTAGCACCTTCTACTCCTCCAGTTGTGACAATCAAAAATGTCTTCAGGCATTGCCAAATGTCCTCTCGGGGTAAAACTCCCTCTGCTTAAAACTCCATTTGGACCAGAATGTTTTGACTTCTCTGAAACTTCCTAGTGCCTCTACTCTTTTTTTTCCCTCTTTCCATTGCCTACTAGAGGAAAACATCACATTTTAATTTTGGCCTTTAACAGATTATGAAGGTGTATTCCAGCTCACCTTATGGCAGGGGATACCACACTCAGGCAATTCTCAGTTTGAACATCAATGGGAAGATGTTATGCTCTATGTTGACCATGGCCTCACAATGGCCAGTAAAGTAGTTGGCGAATATTGGGCTGTCTTAAGTCTGCAGTCAGAGGTAGCAGCTCGGCCCTCTGCAGACCAGAGAAATAAGTTCCAAGGTTTTCTTCCTCACTCAAACACAGCTTACGCCCTTTCACTTATTTTTTTTTTTTTAAAGCACAGCATATGAAGAGACATAGGACCCTGGGTAAAAGCTAACAGATCCTTAGACAGTAGTCTTCTTCTGCTGCCTTGAGTCCCACTGAAGAAGTGGCAAGGTTTGTTGGTTATCCAAACTACTCCTCCCCAGAAACAGCTGCAAATAGTAGAGGGTCAAGATGCTTACAGGAAAATAAAAGAATTTATACAATGACTACATGTGTCATTTTCTATCTTAGGGAATTCTCTGCTAGGAGAAAGGAGTAATAGCTCTTCTTGGCGCTTAGAAATTGATCTAAAAGAGCAGAAGTAAAGCATTAAAAAGACAAGGTTCAGGAAACCCATCCAGTCTGAAAATGGCTCACATCGATGTGTTTCTATTTTTAAAACCTCTTAACTTCATTTGAGAGAAATGAAAACTTGGGAGTTGAACGAAAGGTACCATCTATCTATGCTTGGCTTCAGAGCAGAAGTGTCACAGAGTAGAAATTCAAAACAAACTGAACATCTCTGGAGATAAGTCAGATGACTACTCTACCCTATTTACTTGCTTAACAGTTGCCATGACAAAATGGCCACACCTAGGCTTCTGGATCAGCAACATCTGATCCCAAATGCCTGTCATGCATGTCACCACTGCCTGTTCTGTGAATTAAAAAAAAAAACAAAGGAAGAAAAGAAAAGAAAAAATGCAGCAAATAAGCAAGTAAACATCAGAAATCAGTATCACCTTCAAACAGGATGGAGAAACCCTGGAGAATGACATAGTAGGCTGGCACATCCAAGCTGGAGAAGGGGCCCCTGAAAGGCATTAGCTGTATAACTTAAGTATTCCCTGTATAACAACAGGAATTTCCTTGGTGTGTATGTGTGTGAGTGTGTGTTTGTTTTCATTATAATTAGAAAAACATGGCTGGGGAACAACCACCACCACCACCTCTCTGCGCATGAATTAACACGCACCAGCCACAGGCATCATGTGCCTGAAGCGCCAGTCATCTCAGAACAGATTGTGTTCTCTTCTCCAAGCCCGCAGCCTGCCTCGTCACTGAGGTTTGGCTTTATAAAACTCCAGGAAGCCAGGCAAAGCTCTCTCTGCTCAAACTGGTCCCTCTTACTGGGGACATTTAGGACTCTGTGCTGCCCTCTAGAGCATTTGTTCTAGTCTCAAAGCCATACATCAATCCAAGATCTGATGAAAAACCTAGAACAATAAAGGCTTTCCGACAGGCACATATTAATAGTGCAATGCAGGCTACGTTCCTTGCCATTAGTTCAGGGTCCCTGGTTTGCTGCTAACAGGGTCCATTGTGCCAATGACCTAGACTTTGGCTGGTCTCTAGTAATTATGCCCCAAATAAAGCCAGGGTGAGCTTGCATAGCTGAGGAGAAAACTTATTTTGAGGAAGTATTTTTTGACTCATTCCGTTTTGAAAAGACGAGTGTGAAAAAAGAGATGGGTGGGGTCACCCCCAGTGGGGACCATGCACTTGTCCTCAACCTCAGTTCAGTTCTGTTGCTGATGTACTATGGCTGCAAGCTGCCAAATGCTGCTTCCCTCTGCTTGTTAAAGAGCCAAGCAACCCATCTGATTTACCGAGTAGAGCTCGTTCAGGACCTTCATCAAATCATCTTGGAGCTGCTGGCCGACTTCTTTACTCTGCAAGGAAAGAGGAATGAAGGTTAATTGGGAAACAGAAGAGAGAGGAGGGAGCAACAAAGGCAAAAGCCACACTGGCTCTACAAATAACCCAGACTCAATTAAGGCCCATTATTTAACCCAGCAAATCAGATAACCACTCCAATCAGACCCAATTATGGTCAGATTACTCAAAGAGTTTTAATAAAATGAAATGTGCCCTCTCTATAGCCTAGCAAAGGCAATTGCGTAGAGGGAAAAAGGGTGGTAGCCTTTGGTTTTTCTATTGGTCCCCAAAGAGCAGGCCTGAAAGCCACATCCTACCTAGCAACTGTTGTTAGGTGGAACACGGTTTCTCAGATACTTGCAGTCAAGCATTCCAGAAGATTTCAAAGGAAAGTAAGATGTGTAATGGGATGAAATAGGAAAAAGTATATAAACATTTAGGGACTTCAAAGTCCCTAACTAAATAGAAAACTCCAAGCAGGATGGAACTATATTTCTTACTTGCTTTATTTCTACCCAAAACTCACAAGGCAGCGGTATCTCAATATTGACTGCCTGTGAGATTAGCTGTTACTAGATGCTGAAAATATATGTTAAGGGGTCTCCAACTAGTTAATCTTGAGCAGTGATGGCTCCTGGGTTCTTTGCTGCTGCCACCCAGGGCTGACATCTAACTACATAGAGCAGTAGAAATAAAGAATGAGGGCTGGGCACGGTGGCTCACACCTGTAATCCCGGCACTTTGAGAGGCCAAGGTGGGTGGATCAGCTGAGGTCAGGAATTCGAGACCAGCATGGCCAACATAGTGAAACCCCATCTCTACTAAAAATACAAAAATTAGCCGGGCCTGATGGCACACGCCTGTAGTCCCAGCTACTCAGGAGGCTGAGGCAGGAGAATTGCTTGAACCCAGAAGGTGGAGGTTGCAGTGAGCCGAGATTGCACCATTGCACTCCAGCCTGGGTGACAAGAGTGAGACTCTGTCTCAAAAAAAAGAAAAGAAAAGAAAAGGAAAGAAAGGAGGAAGCAGGAAGGAAATTGTCACACCTTCTATACTAAGTGTTGTATGCCAAACCTAAGAGAGCTAAAACTGATTGGCAGCATGGGTCATTGAGAGGGAAAGCCCTTGTTTTATCTTTTGCCAGCTCCTTCTAGATCTTTCCTACCAGAAATTCGGGTATCAAAATGCCACCCTAACAGAAGTTATAATACTGTTTCCCATCCCTCCCACCATAGCTGCTAGCTCCCAGGCAAAAAAAGGAAGGACTTTCATGTCAGATACACAATCATTTAAGATCTTGCTTTTTTTCAAGGTACATACATCTCTACTTAAAAAATACTTTTTTTTCTGATTACAAAAGTAATGTATGTTTATTATAATAAGGAAACTAGAAAACCTCAAAAAAGAAAACAAAAGTAACTCTTAAATTCCTACCACTAAGAAATCACCACTCTAAGTGTTGTTATGTATTTTTCTAATCTTTTCTAGTTTTACAAAATTGGGATTGCATTATAAATCCTGTTTTGTAACTTATTCACTTAAACATATGTTGTAAACATTTCCACATGTATTATTGTTCTATAGCATTATAATACGTTCTATTGATGTAGCTCCCATTCTTGGACATTTACTTCACTTCTAAATTTTTGTGATAAAAAATGCCATATCACATTACTTTGTATATGATCTAATGCACACACCTTTCATTATTTTCTCCTAGAAATAACATTGCTGGGTCAAAGACTACCATTTATACCACTAAAATGCCTTTGAGAAAAACGGTACCAATTTAAAATACCACCAATAGCATATATGAATGTTTATTTCACATTTTTTTGTCTTGACAATTTGATGTGGTATCCTATTGTAATTTGCAATCCTTTGATTCTAATGAGCCTGAGCATTTTTAAAAATGTTTATCAGTCATTTTCATTTTTCTTTTATAATCTGCCATTTTCTTATTAAGGTGTTCTCTGCCCATTTTTCTATTAAGGTATTCATTATGGAATATAACCTATGTGTGGCCTCTGTCATGAGTAAGCATGAATTTTTACATCTGATAGTGGGGAAAGGGGTGGAAGGAGCCCTAAATTAGCAATCACAAGATTCTCTTTCTATTCCTGGCTCCTGCATTACCAAAGAGGTAACTCTGGACAACCTGGTTAACCTCTCTGGCCCTCTGTTTTCCCTTCTATAAAATGAAAAGCTTCAGCTAAAACATTTCTAAAGTCTTTTCCAACCTCTGCCATTCTATGATTCTACATGATCTTCTGCCTGGCTTCTAGAGTCCATATTAGCTTCAAACATCCCTCCCTTTAGTGTATGGCTGGTTGGCTAGAAGATAATGAGCAAGTTCTCCTCGGGGACCCAGATGCTCTACAAAATGGACGGGTTCAGGGGATCTTGCCAGTCTTAAATTTATCATTCCAGGGTCTCTCATCCAATGACCTCAACTGCTGGAAGAAGCCACAAGAGGGAATGCCTTTCATCTGTGATCTCACATACCAGCCTGTCCTTTCCATTGAGAGGAAAGCTGAGCTCCACTGAAGCAACAGAGGCCCAAGGAGGTGAAGTGAGGCAACATGACTCACTCTGAGCCCCAGAGTCAGCAACAGGGTCAGGAAGTGACCATGAGTATCACTTCCCACCGCCCTGCCCTCCTGCCTCCGGGCCATCTCCCCCTGCCAGCCTATCGTTTCTTAACTCCTCCTTATGTTTGAATGGCAGAGGTTAAAGGAGAAAGCTCCTATTCCTCTACCCTGTTGCTTACCCATGACTTAAATAACCTAGCCCCAGAGTGGGGGATGGGGGAAGAAGGGGAGGGAAAAGTGTAACCAAAAACAACAGCAATTAAGCCCAGGCAGATGTTTCCTTTCATGTACTGATTAGTTGGGAGGACCACTCAACTATTATCCCTGTTTATTTGAACAGGCTGCTGAAGTGATCTGACTTACTGCTCCCTCTGGCTGAGGGTTGGGCTGGGACTACATGTGTAGCGAGCCCACTTAAAATGTGCAATACAGCCTCTAGCAATCAGGAGAAATTCTGACACTAGGCCAGAGGCAGGAAATTGCCAGTGTCTCTCCTTTCACAGATGATAAAAGGCCATTCGTTCTCTGTTTCAGAAACCTTAACTGTGTGCCTTTGGGGGAAAGCGTGGCCCCAGGAAGGGCTTCCGTGCTGGCCACTGCAGTGGGGTTGACAGAGCTGGTAAGCCACAAGGGGGCCCCACCCAAAGACAAGGGGGACATTTATTCCTGGGAACAACAAAACCTGATGAGGCCGAGTACATGACAATGAAGACTGTAGAGCTTTTCCGTTCTCTATAAAAAGGCAAGGGGTTTCTAGACAGGGAAGAAAAAGAATTTACAGAGCAGTCTTTGTGTACTAACATACAGCCTGCATCTCTTTTCTTTAAAATTTCTTGGAAGAGAATGAGTCATCTCAACATTGCAGGAAACCAAATAGAAGTTGGGGGAAAAAATTACTTTGGACAAAGTTTTTCTCTTAAATGTTTGCATAGTAATCTTTGCCTGGAAAAAAAAAAAGATGCCTAAATTTAGAATAGAGATGTGGTACAGTTAACAATGCTGGTTCTATCGGATGGGAAGTGTGATGGTGTGCTCAGGCTGGGATCTCTTATTTTGAAACTCACCACAACCATTTGGTCAGAGTGCTTCACTGGCCTCCACTCTGACTGCTGCCGAGTGGCTGATCAGAAGACAATGAGATTGCAACAGCTCCTACCAGTTGTATGCTGACAAAATGGGTAGGAAAGCTTCCTTTTTCCAACAGATAACAGCATTGGAAACAGAACTGAAATGCACTGTGTCATCTCATCTCCCCAAGACAAGACTGTAATGTTCCAAAGCCTCCTTGCTCACAGAAAGGATGTAACAGCAGATATGTACGGAAACATAAGGATCCTAGGCATCCGGGATGCCTGGCCACTGGGCTGGTCACTCTTCCTTAGACCTCTTTAAATCAGTACATTTCCTGAGCTTGGATGGGTTTGTCTATTAGCGTTTCCCAAAGAACACCAATTATGAAAGAGGTTTCAGACCTGTTCTCAATAGGGAGGTTACTTGTTACCGATTCTCTAGTTATTTAGATCAGCACTCATGTGCTTTCCAAGTTGGGGGTGGGACTGTTGTTAATTGGTTATCTACATTTCAAAGCTGTATTTTTTGACAGGCACAAAAGTACCCCCTATTTGTAAGAAAGAAGAATAAAAAGAGGAAGGCATGTCTCTGCCATGTGGCGAGAGCTCATTTCAGCCCCATCCCAAGGCTGAGCCTGTCAGCAGGTAGGAACAGTAGGGCCATTTAGTTCTCTGCCATTTAGCCTGTGTCAGCAGTTTTCCAAAAAAGAATCCAGTTTTCAAGGGCACATATCTCCCCAACAACCACTACTATCCCCTCCCCACCCTAAAGATTGTTCAGAGACCAACTGTTAAAAAAAAAATCCAGTTTAAAACTGAATTTATGTTACAGATTTCAGAGGAAAGGAACATGACCCTGTATTAAGCTCTGGCAGCAGAAGCACCACCATACATAAGGTGGTGGTTTCAGGGGCATTCACTAACCACTTCAAAGAGGCCACATTTCAGGAGCTGGCACTTTGCCTGAAATGCTTTTGGTGGGGAGGAGAGGGCTAAAAGGAATGACTGTTTGGTAGCAGGGCCAGTGCTAGGTGATGGTGGGCACTGTGTCTGGTCCTCTCTCTCAGCTAACTTGGGCCACCAAAATAGGTGGTACAGTGTGAGGCTGTATGCCGAGGCTCTGGGGGTTCAGGGGGTGATGATCCAGCAGGTCAGAGCTCAGAAATGACTTCTAGATTTCCCCTCCACCATACTACCTGCATATATGCAAGCAGGGCTCTTTCTATTCAGCATTCATTCATCAGTGAGGATACCATGAGACGGCTCTGAGAAAGACTGAACTCCAGTTAGGACCTTAAACTATGAGAAGCCCAAGGATGTATAAAACACAAATATACTTAATTGCAAAACTTTTATAGAGAGGTAGGCTAGGAGATACCACAACAGGGACACCAGAGGTGCTTTTGCCTTCTGAAGATAGGTAGACTAGGATGTTCAAAAAATACATTTTTTATTGCAATACAGCATAATATGTGTCTATAATAAAAGTACTTATGTGTCCGGAGTTGGTTCCTTCTGGTGGGTTCTTGGTCTCACTGACTTCAAGAATGAAGCTGTGGACCTTCGCGGTGAGTGTTACAGCTCTTAAGAGTGCTGATTGGTGCATTTATAATCCTTTAGCTAGACACAGAGCGCTGATTGGTGCATTTTTACAGAGTGCTGATTGGTGCCTTTACAATCCTTTAGCTAGACACAGAGCGCTGATTGGTGCGTTTTTACAGAGTGCTGATTGGTGCATTTACAATCCTCTAGCTAGACAGAAAAGTTCTCCAAGACCCCACTCCACCGAGGAAGTCCAGCTGGCTTCACCTCTACTTATGTGCTGTCCACTATGATATTTCCTATTCTTTTATCTTTTTTCTTTTCTTTCTTTCTTTTTAGATACAAGGTCTTGCTCTATTGCCCAGGCTAGAATGCAGTGGCCTGATCATAGCTCACTGCAGCCTTGAACTCTTGGGCTCAACTGTCACGTGATCCTCCTCCCTCAGCTTCCCATGTAGCTGGGACGACAGATGTGTACCAACATGCTGGTTAATTTTGGTAATTTTTGTAGAGATGGGATCTCACTGAGTTTGCTCAGGCTGGTCTCAAACTCCTGGCTTCAAACAATCCTCCTGCCTCAGCTTCCCAAGTAGCTGGTAACAGGCATGCTTGGCTAATTTTTAAAAAAATTGTTTTCAGATATGGAGTCTCGTGATGTTTCCCCAGGCTGGTCTCAAACTCCTGGCCTAAAGATCCCTCCACCTCAGCCTCTTAGAGTAGCTGGGATTATATTCTCGAGCGACTGTGCCTGGCCTTTTCTATTTTTTTATATTGGTCATAACTCACTACATTTATTTTACAACTCATTAATGAGTCATTATACACAGGTTTAAAAAGACTGGTTACATACAAAAGTCTGTACTTGAGGAATTAATAAAGAAAATAGTGGTTTAAGGACTGGAGCCCACTAACTTATTTAGACAGGAGCTAAAATAACTTGCCGTCTTGAAGTGGCTGATCAGATGTTTCAAAGCAGGTTCAATTATTGAATGCTGGCAAGGGAGAAATGGCTGGATTTTAGGGAGTGAGCAATAAAGAGTCCATCAGCAAATATTTATAGAACATCTATTAAGTGTCAGGCACTTGTGGTCTGAATGCAAAACAGAAAGTTTAAAAGTTTACAACCTGTTGAGAAAGATGGACATTAATCTAACGTCTGGGCCCATCAGAATGCAATTCTTCCAATCTCAAAGGTATTACTAGAAATGGAATATCTTAAGTTAGTTTTTTTAGTTTAAGATCAATTTTTTTTCCTGTCCCAGCCAAGAGGTTTCCACACCATAACCTAATTCCACAGCAAGCTAGATATTGAATCTAGCTTGCCAAAAAAAAAAAAAAAAAAATCTGATTTCAAAAAATCCAGCTATTACATAGTAAATTCTTTTTCTTTGAGTTTGTCTTTCTAAGTTACTAATGGATATTTCAGGTTATAATGATCCAGCTTCAGTATTAGTGACTCCCAAAGCAGTCACATTCCATTTTTAAAGAACCCCTTGAGCTTGTAAGCACCATAAAAAACAATTTCACCAGAAGCTCCTTCACTCAGGAGTTAATGGATATAAACTATCCTAGTGACAAGTTATATTTTAAAAGAAAATGTCAGAAACTTGACTAGTCTAAGGCCCAATACTTGTTTCAGGATTCCTCTTCTGGAATATGAATAGTTTTTGAATTTGATTCCTGTTTAATTATCTGAAAAACTTAGTCTAAAAAAATCTCAAAGCAACTACAATATGAAACCATCTAAAGCTAATGGAAGAGATAGGTTTTAACTTTTTAAGCATTTTTCTGAATCCTCTGTGGTACCCAGCCCATTGCTTTGTGCACAGTGGCCATAAAATAATCAGTTGCTGAATCAATGAGATCAAAGTTTAAATACTATGCTTTCACATAATGACAAGAACTAAACAATATAGCTGCGTTTCATCATATAAATTATTAAAAGTGGAAACTCCATCAGAGGTTAGCCACAATGAGCTCCCTTTGGTTATGGTTCACCAATGAGCCCTAAAAGTTGAAATGACTTTTCCAGGGTCAGTAGCCTATCAAGGACCACATGCAGTATTAAAAGAGAGCTGAACATGCAGGCTCTGGAGCAGGAATTGAATCCTACTTCTACTCCCCAATTGATGACCTTGGGTAAATTATATTTAAACCCTCTATGCTTCAGCTTCCACATCTGTAAAATAGGATAATAAGAATAGTGAGATAATCCACATAAAGTGCTTTAAACAGAATCTAGCACCTAGCCTGTTCAATAAATGTTGGCTAATATTAATATTAGAATCCAGCCCCCTCAACACTCACTTGAGTGTTCTTTCCGCCGCACTATGCTGCCTCCTTACGTACTCTCAAACATGTTAAAGATGCTATGTGGAATTGCGAAGGTCCTGGAAACTACTTCCCAGGCAGGATTGTAGCTGAATTCCTCCAATGGGCTCTGTGGGCCCGAAGGGAAGAACGTTCTCTGTTTTTCCTTATGCCTGCTGTTGCATAATCTTTTTCTTCCCCAGTTTCAGTAAGAACTAAATGACTCTGTAAGAAATAATTCAGCTTTCCTGAGGAAAGAAAACAAAAAAACAAAACTCCCAAAACGAAACAAAGAAAGACGATAAAAAGTGCTTAGCAGAAAGGAAGAAATGATGAAGGTAGGGGTGGCAGAATGAAAATAAGGAGGATACAATTACCTTCTATTCCTCCAGATAGATTAAACAGAAAAGATCCTTCTTGGCTGTACAACTAGGATATGGTTCGACTGTGGGCATAAAGGAAACATCCAAAGGAAGGAGCTCCCCACTACCTAGGTCACAGAATACCAAAACCACCCATCAAGTTCTGGTTCAGTGAAATCCAGGACCTCTCTCCTCTAGGACAGAAATGGCTTTCTGAAAGCCATTTCCTTACGGCTTTTCCAGAAGCTCTGGAATGTGTGAGCAGTAACACTTGATAACCCACAAGTAATGCTAGTGGCCCTGGGAGGAAATCCATTCCTTGGCATGATGTGAACTTTGTGGACTCAGCTCCTACCCTCTGTGAATGCTCACTAACAAAGCTCACTTTGGTCCCTGACCAAAGTCTCTTGTCAGGGACAGGCATACTCGGGACAAGGGTGGGAGTTCAGGGGAGTTCAGGGTGGGGTCAGGAAGAGGCTAACGGCCCTCTGCTCTCCCAGTCTGAAACACAGTCCTATAATAATCTGAATGTTCTTCCATGGTTGTTCCAATCTCTTTGAATGACCTATCCTAATACTAAGAAAATAAACTCAAAACAACATCCCTTAAAACAAAACAGACAATCAAATCTAAGCTTTCATTTCTTAAACTACCACTGTGATCTTTGTCTTGGCAAATTTCCATCTTTTACCCTTTTGGATAATGATTTGAGTGGGGGCGTAATGTCTTCAGGCCCTGATCTCTCATGCCAAAGCATTTCTTGAGGTCATTCTGAAGATGAGTGATCACCCCATTTCCCAAGCAGGACACTAAAAGCACAGAGTAGAAATGGTATCTAGGTGACTGTGGGTATCCTTGAGTAGACTGGGACATAAGGGACAAAAGACACAAAAGCAAACAGGCAGCACGAGAGCACAAATCTCTCAGCAGCTGTAAAATGAACTAAGGAGGAAAAACAATCAATGGCTTGGAACTGGGAGAGAATCGGGGGAAAGAGCCAGAATGATAAGGTACTTGAAAACATATGCCCTTCTACAATAAGGAAATCTATGAGCTGGGGGATGGAAAGAATGCCTGTGTGGCTCCCAGATGGCTGAGCCAGGCGGAGGCTGGAAGAACAGGAGTTAATAGAGCTCATCTGAAAGTTGGAAGTGTGAATGCCAAGAGGAGGAGGGCAGCCTGGTAGGAAGTAAAACAGTCAGCAGCACTCGTACAGGAAATGCCTGGGGCACTGGGAAAATCGCTGATTAAATACTTTTAAGAAAGAGGAACCCAGCAGCAAAGCCAATTCATCGAGAGATCTGTGTAGTTTTAGAACACTGGGAGTAGCCTTTAGAATCGAGAGGAAGAGGCTCCAGTGAGTTATGAAGACAGCATTTTCTTGACACCTCAGGTGCCAGGGTTGGACCTAAGAGGAGCACAAAGCCAACTTTGGGAGAATGAGTAGAGCCCTTTACTGACAGAAATTAGAATGCATTGCCTAGGGACTGGGATGAAGATTTGAGCCTGTATCAGCTTTCTTCAGCTACAATGGTGGTTTGAAGCCTCTTGTCTTTGTCCACAGTAAACACATGGGTAGCCATTCCCATTAGTCATGGCCTACATACAGTTGAAAAAAGAAAAATCAATATTCTTGGGGGAGGATACCTTCCCTCTTGGCCAGTACCCCACTCCTACTGAAAAATCATGGAATTGTGAGAAAAAGAAGGTAGACTTTGGAAATGGAGATTTCCAATCTCCAGCTCTAATTTCTCCCCTAAGCTCTTCGATTTTTCCTCCCCATTTCAGGTTTAAACTTTGTAAATGTTCCACGTACACTTGAAAAGAATGTGTATCTGGCCGGGCGCGGTGGCTCACGCCTGTAATCCCAGCACTTTGGGAGGCCGAAGCGGGCGGATCACGAGGTCAGGAGATCGAGACCAAGGTGAAACCCCATCTCTACTAAAAATACAAAAAAAAAGTTAGCCGGGCGTAGTGGCGGGCGCCTGTAGTCCCAGCTATTCGGGAGGCTGAGGCAGGAGAATGGCGTGAACCCGGGAGGCGGAGCTTGCAGTGAGCCGAAATCCCACCACTGCACTCCAGCCTGGGTGACAGAGCGAAACTCCGTCTCAAAAAAAAAAAAAAAAAAAAAAAGAATGTGTATCTACCCGCAGTTGTCAGGCGCAGTATCCATATATGTCATTTAGGTCAAGTTTGTTGTTTTTCAACTCTTCTGTATTTTTACTGACTTTTTTGGTCTAGTTGTTTAATCATTCACTGAGACAGGTGTGTTAAATCTCTCATTGGGGTGATGATTTATCTAGTTCCCATTTTAATTCTGTCCCATTTGATTTACATATTTTAAGCCTATGTTATTAAGTATATATTTCTTCCTGGAAACTTAGTCTTTACTAGGAAATGTCTCTCTCTCTTCTTTTTTGAGACAGAGTCTCGCTCTATCACCAGGCTGGAGTGCAGTGGCGCCATCTCGGCTCACTGCAACCTCCGCCTCCTGGGTTCAAGTGATTCCCCTGCCTCAGCCTCCCAAGTAGCTGGGACTACAGGTGTTCACCACCATGCCTGGATAATTTTTTGTATTTTAGTAAAGACAGAGTTTCACTATTTTGGCCGGGATGATCTCGAACTCCTGACCTCAAGTGATCTGCCTGCCTCGGCCTCCGAAAGTGCTGTGATTACAGGAGTGAGCCACCATGCCCAGCCTGGAAATGTCTCTCTTTATAACGAAAAATACTTTTTGCATTGAAATCTACCTGGACTGCCTGGGCACGGTGGCTCAGGCTTGTAATCCTAGCACCTTTTGAGGCCCAGGTGGGCAGATCACTTGAGGTCAGGAGTTTGAGACCAGCCTGGCTGACATGGTGAAACGCTGTCTCTACTAAAAATACAAAAATTAGCTGGGCATGGTGGCGCATGCCTGTAATCCCAGCTATCTGGGAGGCTGAGGCGGGAGAACTGCTTGAACCCGGGAGGCAGAGGTTGCAGTGAGCTGAGATTGCACTACTGCCCTCCAGCCTGGGTGACAGAGCAAGACTCAGAAAAAAAAAAAAAAAAAAGAAAAAAAAAGGACAGAAAGAAAGAAGTGGGGGGGCAGAGAGAGAGAGAGAAAGAGAGAGAGAGAGAAAGAAAAGAAAGAAAGAAAGAAAGAAAGAAAGAAAGAAAGAAAGAAAGAAAGAAAGAAAGAAAGAAAGGAAAGAAAAGAAAGAAAGAAAGAAAGAAAGAAAGAAAGAAAGAAAGAAAGAAAGAAAGAAAGAAAGGAGAGAGAAAGAAAGAAAGGAATCTACCTGGCCTGATTTTATTGTAGCTATCTTTTCCTATCACTTTGCTTTAAATCTTTCTTTATCCTTATATTTAAAGTGTATCTGTTCTCTTACAAGCAACATACACTCTAGTTTTGCTTTTTAAAAATCTGTCTTTAATTTGCATAAGTCAATTTACACCTTATATTATGGTTTAAACCCACCAACTTGCTAATTGCTTTCTATTTGTCCTGCCTCTTCTATTTTCCTCTTTCCTCTCCTTTCCTACCTTCTTTTTTTCTTCCATTTACAAAACATTCAGAAAATTCACTCTTGTTGGCATACAGTTCCATGTGCTTTGGCAAATGCACAGAGTTGTCTAACCATCACCACAATTAAGACACAGAACAGTTCCATCACCCACCAAAAACCTCTTGTATCCTGCACCTTTAGAGTCAAACTCTCCGCTACCCTTAACCACTGGAAGCCATTGATTTGTTCTGTATCTCTATAGTTTTGCCCTCCCCAGAATTTTTCTTTCCTTCTTTTGAGTTACTTTTTTATTAACTGAATTTGTCCCTTTCTTAGATTGGTACAATACTATTCTTTGAGTGGTTACCAAAAATTACAACATATATCCTTGAATTGCCAACACCTAATACAAATTACTACTTTTACCACTTTCTGAAAATATCTTTAAACCCATTTCCCTACCCCCACCCAGACACAGATTCTATTGTTGATTTCATTGTTGCCATTTATATTAATTTTATACATATTTAAAACCCCACAGGGTTGGCCTGGTGTGGTGGCTCATGCCTGTAACCACAGCACTTTGGAAGTCCAAGGCAGGAAGATCACTTGAAGCCAGGAGTTCAAGACCAGGCTGGGCAACAGATAGACCCTCTCTTTACAAAAAATAAAAAATAAGCCAGGCATGGTGGCACACACCTCTTGTCCCAGCTGTTATACTTGGGACGCTGAGGTGGGAGGATCATTTGAGCCCAGGAGTTCAAGGCTGCAGTGAGCTATAATTGTGCCACCGCAGTCCAGGCTGGGCAGCAGAGCAAGACTCTGTCCCTCCCACCCACACATCTAAAAAAGGAAAACCCCACAGATGATTATTAGTGTTGTTTTTAACAGTGATTATTCACTTAGATCTATATTTTTTTTCTTTTTTTTTTTGGAGACGGAGTCTCACTCAGTTGCCCAGGCTGGAGTGTAGTGGCATGATCTCGTCTCACTGCAAGCTCTGCCTCCCGGATTCACGCCATTCTCCTGCCTCAGCCTCCCAAGTAGCTGGGACTCCAGGTGCCCGCCACTATGCCTGGCTAATTTTTTTGTATTTTTAGTAGAGATGGGGTTTCACCATGTTATCCAGGATGGTCTCAATCTCCTGACCTCGTGATCTGCCCGTCTCGGCCTCCCAAAGTGCTGGGATTACAGGCATGAGCCACCGTGCCCGGCCAATCTATATTCTTATATATAGTTTCTGTTGCTCCTCATTCTTTACTGCACTTCTAAGATTCTATTTGGGATCATTTTCCTTCTGCCTAAATAATGCCATTTAGTATTTCTTTTAGTGCAAGTCTGCTGGCGATATATTTTCTCATATTTTTCTTGTCTGAAAACATCTTTAGTTCACCTTCATTTTTGAAGGGTATTCCTTTCTACACTTTCATTCCACTGTCATCTGCTTTCCATTGCTTTTGTTCAGAAGTCAGCTGTCAACCATGCTGTTGCTCCACTGAAGATAATACGTCTTTTTTACCTCTAGCTGTTTGTATTTTCTTTGTATTTCTCCTGTTTGGGGCTCATAATGCTTCAGTCTGTGGCTTGAAGTCTTTTATAGTTTAGGGAAATTCACAGCCATTATCTCTTCAAATATTGCTTCTATCCCATTCTCTTTGTTCTCTTCTTCTGAGACTTCAAGTAGAAGCATGTTAGGCCTACTTACCCTATCCCATAAGTCTCTTATGCTCTTTTCTGTATTTTCCATCTGTTTATCTCTCTGAGCTTCAGTATGCATTGTTTTCTGACGTTTCAGTTCATTAACTATTTATTCAGCACCATCTAATCTGCTACTTGATCTACACATTGAGCTCTTTTAGTTACTGCATTTTTTGTACTAAAATTTGTTTGATTTTTTTAAATTATTGAGATATAATTCACACACTGTACAATTCACCACTACAGGGTACACAATTCAGTGGCTATTAGTATATTTGCAAGGTTGTACAACCACCACCACTAAGTCCCGAATATTTAATCATGCCAAAAGAAAACTCAAACCTGTTAGTAGTCACTCCCCATCTCTCCTTCCCCCAGCTCCTAGCAACCACTAATCTACTTTCTGTCTCTATAGATTTGCATACTCTGGACATTTACTATAAATGGAATCATATAATATGTGGCCTTTTATGTTTAGCTTCTTTCACTTACAATGTTTTCAGGGTATATCCATATTGTAGCATGTATCAGCACTTCCTTCTTTTTTATGACTAAATACTACTCTATTGTATGGACATGACACATTTTGTTTAAATTGTATAGGTATGCCATACTTTAAGTTTGTTCCATAAATCACTTCATTAACATTTGGGTTGCTTCCACTTTTTGGTTATTTATTTATTTATTTATTTATTTATTTTGAGATGGAGTCTCGCTCTGTCGCCCAGGCTGGAGTGCAGTGGTGCGATCTCTGCTCACTGCAAGCTCCGCCTCCTGGGTTCACGCCATTCTCCTGCCTCAGCTTCCCCAGTAGCTGGGACCACAGGTGCCTGCCATCACGCCTGGCCAATTTTTTTGTATTTTTAGTAGAGGCAGGGTTTCACCATGTTAGCCAGGATGGTCTCGATCTCCGGACCTCGTGATCTGCCCACCTCAGCCTCCCAAAGTGCTGGGATTACAGGCGTGAGCCACCGTGCCCAGCCTGGTTATTTTGAATAATGCTGTTATGAACATTTGTGTATAAGTTCTTGTGTGAGCATATGTTTTCAATTCTCTTGGGTATACACCTAGATGTGGAATTGATGGGTCACAGGTTAATTCTATGCTTAAGTTTTGGAGGAATTTTCAGTTTTCCATAGCATCTGCACCATTTCACAATCTTACCAGCAATGTATGAGGGTTCTGATTCCTCCATACCCTCTCCAAAACTCTTCTTTCCTTTTCTTTCTTCCTTTTTAAAATTATAGCTATCCTAGTGGGTGTGAAGTGGTGTTTCATTGTGGTTTTGATTTGCAGTAGCCCAATAAATAACAGTGTCAAAAATGTGCTTGTTGGCCATTTGTGTAACTTCTGTGGAGAAATGCCTATTCAAGTCTTTTGCCCATTTTTAAACTGGACTGGTCATCTTTTTGTTGCTGAGTTCTAAGAATTCTTTATATATTCTGAAAATTAGACCTTGATGAGATATATGATTTGAAAATACCTTTTCTCATTCTATAGCTGTCTTTTCATTTTCTTGACAGTGTCCTCTCAAACACAGAGGTTTCTGACTTTGATGAAGTTCAATTTATTTATTTTTTCTTTTGTCGCTTGTGCTTTGGTGTCATATGTAAGAAATCATTGCCTAATCCAAGATCACGAAGACTTACACCTATATTTTCTTCTAAGAGTTTTATAGTTTTGGCTCTTGCATTTATGCCTTTGATCCATTTTGAGTTAATTTTTTTTATTATTTCCAGGTTTGTTTTTATAATTTAATTTCATAAACATATTAAACATAGTTAATTTAAAGTTTGCATCTGTTAACACCATTACTAGGATCTCCTGTGGGTCTAGCTGTTTCTCTTAGCTTTTGGTCACAGTTCTTATTTCCTCATAGGCCTAATTATTTATAACTGAGTGCCAAACATCATGATGAAAAATGATGAGAGATATATTAGGTCTAGGATGATAGTATCTTCCACAGTATCTTCCTCTAGAGAGGATTTAAATTTGTTTCTAGCCACTGGCTATCCTAAATCACCTTAATCCAATTAGAGGTTAAGATAATTTGAATCCAGGCTTCAGTCTCTATGAAACTGCCTTAGTCTATTTCTGGCTTATCTTTCCTTCTTAATTGTATCCCTTTGGTGTCTCAAAGCCTGGGGAATTTTACCAAGGCTACCCATCCTGGGCCCCTGGGCCTTAAATTCCCATATTTGTCCTGCTAGCCCTACAAGTCTATTAAACACTCTGCTCAGCTTTTTGACACTCAGTAATATTTTCTAAAATGGCAGAAGCCTCTTCAAGGAAAGCAGCTCCCATGAAGCAAAAGGATTGGTCTGAATTTTCTTCTAGAAAAGCTTCCATTTCTAGAAGCACAACTCTAAGTTTAAATTTTGAAAACAGATTATCTTATGTTTATTTGTAGCCCTCACCAGGCCCAGTGCAATTCTGGAAACCTAATAAGAATGGAAATATGCTTTGTTTGATACAATGAACAGATACTGGTGATAGTGAAGGCTTGCCACACTTACGTTTTAAGTTGTTCATTTCCCAGGACGTGGTAACCAAAGCATTCTGGTAAAACAAGAGAGAAGCAAGCCTGAGGTTTCAAGTATGGTTTCACATTACTTCCTTAGGGACTTTTCAAAAACCACACTCCATCAAACAGAAAAAGGAGGTTAAATCTACCTCAAATAAAGGACATCTCTGAAATTAGCTGAATGATTAAGAATCCAGATACTAATCTCAGAGATCCTCTGGTGACCACCAAATGGAGGAACTCTACAAGAAATTCTAAAAATTGGCACGTATAAAAGCTCTATATGGGGCCATCTGGGGTCTGAGAAAGATTTGGGCATCTAGTTCCTGAGACATATGTGAAAATGTCAGCTTCACCAGCCACCTCAAATTCTGTAACAGCACACTGGCTTTTCCTAAGTGGCACTAGCATAAAAAAATTGAAAGAAGTAATCGCTGACTTCGAATTCTCTTTCCAATAAGTGGCCATACGCTGTTCATTTCTCCTTCATGATATGTCTGGCATCTGTCTCCTTCTTTTCATTCCTCCTGTCACTGCTACCACATCTCAGGCTCTTATTACCCTGTCCTGGAATTAGAGGCCCAGTCTTTCGGAAATAGCAGCAATATTTTATCATTTCCCTATGAGTAGGTCTTCCATCGTTCCCTAGTGCTCTCAGAATGAAGTTCAAACTCCAAGTTTGGCATTCGAGGCTCTTTTCGGCTTTGTTTCAAGCTGCTCTCCTCATTAACACTCTGATTTAGCCAAACTATTTTTACTCACCACCCTCTGAAGAGTCCTCACACATTCCGGTGCTCTCCTTCATCCTGAAGCCTGTTCTTCCATATGGAATATCCTTTGACTCCAGCTCCCCCTCCATGCTCACAAACTCCGTACTTTTTCATCTTTAATTACTGAAATCATTTTCATTCACTAAAAACCCAGCTCAAATTTCACCTCTCTACATCTCTCTGCACAAAAAGCACTTAGTACTTACAGACGCTAAAGCTTAGAGAGGTCAAAAAATTTGTCCATGAGAACAACTATTAATTGGTGAAGTTGGAATTGAACTCATAAACTCCTTCAATGCTATTTTGTCTTATCTGTATTCTCCTAATCTTATACAATACCTTGCATATAGTAAGCACCTAATAATTACAGAGCGAAGATAGGGGGAAGAAAGGCCATAAATTTTCACAGCAAGAAAGACATATACAAAAGAATATTCTTGATGTATCAGTTTTTAAATTCATCAGATATATACTGCAGAAAAGGTTGTGATTCCATCTGTTAAAAAGAGAATCATATAAGCAGAACTATAAAAATAAGCTGCTAGAATATTCTGGTTAAAGGAAAGAAATCTAAAACTCAATCAGCTTTAAATCCATTTGCTACATTGGGATTGTTGGCAGTTCAAAGGGCAAATGGCAAAAGCATGTCTCACCACGCACCCTGGCCACAGTGCAGATGGAACTCAGCCAAGGGGTTACCCAGCTAGAAAGCATTACTGCTTTCCCACTGACCAGGGCAGTCCTGTGGAAGCCTTCAACAGCCCATGTGTTCTTTGCTTTGGTCTTGGGACTTAAGGATAAATGAGATGAGGATGGTGGGTAAATGACAAGGGTAGGCACTGTCTTGGGGGCACTGCTTCTCATTCTTGCCCTACAGAGTTCAGGCAACAATCTTCTTGGGGAGCCCCAAGGAAGGGGGTGGAAAGAGGCTGAAGACAATGGGGGCTTTCAGGAGTCCCCTTAATACCCAGAGAAGCAAGGAGCAGAGCAAAGGTTCAAACACCCAGGGGAAAGGAAATCGCTTCTTGATCCCTTCCAAACACAAACACAAGGACCATGATCAAAGAATTGCTTGCTGTAGTTATCGCAAAAAGAAAACAACAACAGGCCTTCCTGCATTCCTGCCTTTCCATGCCAGGCTGTCCTCTCCCCATGATCGTCCCCACCCCCCAAATCCTGGGGACAATTGAGCTGTGTCTCTGGCATGTGTGGAGCTGCAGGTCACGGCCATATTTAACGAGAACATTCATTCTCCACAGGCGCTACA